>NC_000010.11:52264307-52415822 GCF_000001405.40 Homo sapiens | reverse complement strand
CCCAGATCTTGATTTCTAAATACCTTAGTGAAACGACTGGTCCCAAAGGTGAAGCAGGGAAAATACAAAATGAGCCAGGAATATCTTGTGCCAGAAATTTGTTAAATGTGCAAAGAATTAAATGTCAAAAGGATCCAGGAGTTAGCCTGGAGATTCCAGTGACCATATCTGAGACTATTTGAACATCAAAATAAATAATGATGGTAATATATTACCACACATTAAAAAATTGATTCAGGAGTTCATATTTATATAAATAAATTAAAAAACATATAGGAGAGAAAAATCTTTCTTATGGTAGAATGCCAAGTAATTAATGGAGAAGAAATGATAGAAATAGAAAATCACCATTTTACACCCATCATTGTTGTGGCTAATTCAGGCAGGTATCATCAATGGATGCTAAGGCTGGTGGGTAGATTTTGATGTGACACTAGACACTGCTGTAATTTCAGAGTATCTCCCTACAAAATACTTATAAATTATGAAGGAATTGAATGGTATATTTTTGGTGAAAAAACAAAGTTAACATCACTTATTAACCTTGACGTGTGAAGGTTGTAAAGTGTTAGCATTGTGTACCTCCTCATGTGATCCTCTAAGAAGAGCAGAAATTATTTCTGAGGTGTTCCTTCCAAGAAAGGACAGCTCAAGTCCAGTGATAAAGAAATATTCCATGGACCACACTGAAGACATCCTAAAGAATGAAAGACCTGTACTCTTTTAAAACTGTCAGGGTAATGAAAAACAGAGAAAGACAGACATGGTTTCAGATGGAATGTCACCAAAGGGCTGTGACAAGTGCATTGTGTATTCCTGAACTGAATCATGTGCCAAAGCAGAGAAGAAATATTGTAGGTAAAGTTGGCAAAACTTGAATGAGGCCTATACATTGGATAGTGGTATTGTACCAGTGTTGATTTCTTGTCCTATGATGGAGAGTGTCCTTGATTTGGTGAAATACACACTGAAATTTTAGATGTCCTGGGGCATCACATTTACAATTTGCTCTCAGAATTTTTGTAACTTTTAAGTATGAAGTTACTTAAATATAGATAAAAAAACTAGAAGGCACTTTTAATATACATAGTAAGGGAATAAGAGGATGGCATGAAGAGAAAAAAGTCTGCATTTGTACAAATTTAAATCTTTTCAAAGAAAAAGACAAATTTTTAAACAAAATTCACATTCTATTTAGATTGAAATAAATGATACAAAATTGACTTTCTTCACCAAAAATAACAGCAATATTTTCCATATTTTTCTAGATAAACCACAACACTTATTTTTGTAGGTTTTCCAGGTTTTGCTTATAAATGAAGACAAGTCATGGAAAAAGACAGAAAAAAACAGATAAATGAGTTGTCAGTATCCATGGCCTCTGATTCTGTCTTATCCATGAAACAGAAGTGTTCAACATATACCTGCTAAGAAGCTTAGGAAGCTGTAGGCTCCACAGAGGAATGTAAACAGAAACAACCAGATGTGGAACAATGGCAGACTTCAATTCAAACTTTAACTGTCATTTGTTCCCTTAAGTTCATTTGAGAAAGACAAAATCTACACTGAAATCCTTGTTTGGTGAGCTCACTAGCTTTTCTTTCTCTGGTAATTTCTTGTAACTGTCCAGTATAGATTTTTAACATACTTAAAACTCCTACTAGTCAAAGGTCAATTGTGGGCTTCACTATAACATTTTATAAAATGTATTCCTTCCTCCCATACCTCTTCAAAATATATTTCTTCAAAGAATTCATTCACACCCAATGAGTAGAGATCCACAGTGATAATAAATGCTATGTCTAAAATGACTTAACTAAAACAATTCCAGAGTGCCACCAGCAGAGAACATGCAGAAGGAAACATGGCACTTTCAATGTTCTCTTCTGGAAGAACAGATAGGTCCTCAAAACATGAGAGTTCAAACAGGGGCTATTTAAACAGGTAGATTATCAATGGCTAATGTATTCAATGGAGTCCTATAGGCAAAGATATTTAGTGATTAAGTGGCCTATATACACCTTATTGCTTTACTTCCAAATATCAAATATAAGAAAGCCTATTTTTTTGGGAGGCCAAGGCAGGCAGATCACGGGGTCAGGAGATCGAGACCATCCTGTCTCACACGGTGAAACCCCGTGTCCATTAAAAATACAAAAAATTAGCCAGGCATGGTGGCTGGTGCCTTTAGTCCCAGCTACTAGGGAGACTAAGGCAGGAGAATAGTGGGAACCTGGGAGGCAGAGCTTGCAGTGAGCCAAGATCGCGCCACTGCACTCCGTCTCAAAAAAAAAAAAAAAAAAAAGCCTGTTTTTAAAAGTCTCTTAGGTATTTTCCATGGTTTCCCAATTATCTGTGGGAAGCTCTGACTTACTTGTATAGAGTTTAATATATGTGTCCACCATTAAATCCAGGTCATGTTTTATATCAAAATTTATGTTAAGCAAAGCCAAGTTACTTGATCTTTGGTCTGTCAAAGTGTACTTCAAATATGCTTTAAGATGCTTTCATCCATTTTCATACCACTCATTCTCAACCTTCATCACAGGAAGAATACACAGGACCTTCAGCAAATGCATACACATTAGGAAAAAACTTGATGTCAGGCAGATGGAGGGCTTCACAGATGGTGGATGGAAGCTCTGTATCTTTCCCCCTGCGTTTCCATTTGATTCTCCAACAATGAAGCTCGGCTGAGAGCATGTTGGGATTAGGTAAGCCACTTCTACAACATGTCAGCATGATGTTCCTCCTAGGTATTAAATTTGAGTTGTCCCATGACTGCGGGTACCAGAGATAAGCATTTAAGAGCTCTGAGGTGCTGTTCTGAGAATATATCTTTAAGTTCCTGAATAATGTGCTCCGCTGTTGGGACACTTAGGGTTTCTTTATAGTAACTCTCAGAGGTTAGCTGAGATTCCAAGTTACCCTGGTGAGCACTGCGGAATTTCCCAGGGAGTTTCATTTGAAGGTCAAGTTTGGTTGCCAAATTTGTGGCTTCCTCAAACCAAAATTCATGATAAACTTCAATATTTTCCATCACTTCGTTGAGTGAATGCAGTACTGCAGTCAAGCTACCGGCTGCAAAGAAGACATCAGATTTGACCCTGGAGATTTTTCCCAAAGGCTCTTGTAAAAGGACATTTTTAAGAACAACAGTAGTAACAATGAAATCAAAATCTGTTACTGCACTGCAGAGTACAAAGGCGCGGCCAGCTATACAGTTATTCCATCTAATATTTGTGTCACTGTACTCTCTAAACATAAAACAAGTGCTTGCTGGAATTCAAAAGCATCATGCCTGCCTGTTCACTGAGAATGGCAGATTTCCTTCAGTTCTTTACCCCTTTCTTTACTGTTCTGAAAAAGGACAGAAATTACATTGTCAAGTTCTAAAAGCAGTTGTGGCGATCGATAGAAAAAAGAACAAACTTCCTCAATTGTTCCTAATGCAACAGATACTCCCGTAACAGGTACTGATTTTGCCAACCACATGTTTATGGCACAGGAAGAGTAGAGCATGTAAATAGCTTGGGGATATTTCTCTAAAAGTCTAGAAGCAACAACTTTCATTTTTGAAGAGAATCCACTAGACACAATGTAAGCCTGGCCACGACAATACTCCATATTTAATCCCCACTTCTCAGTGATCACAGTGTGAAATTTCACAGCCAAAATTTCTGCATCAGCTTCATAAGGCAGGAAGCCTACAAATTCCTCTCTCAGGTTATGAGATTCATCAACAAACCTCACCAACACAGGTAGGTGCTCTTCCCCTGCTATGTCCACTACATTGTCAGTGATAATGGAAAAGAAGTGTGAGTCTCTCACTTCCCTGAGAGTTTATTCTCGAATACAGCTCTCACAGATCTCTAGCACCTGTTTTTGCTGTGTTTTTGAACAAAACAACGTGTTAACTGCTGTTGTCTCAAACTGCTTTCTGAGAACCTCCTCACCAGAATTTATCCGGGCCGACACTCCAGCAGTGCTTGAAAGTTATCTGGAGTAAAGAGATCTTCTGGGATTTCATCAGCCTCATATCCATCCAGAGGTATGTTTTGCTTTCCCATCAGAATCAAGATTTCAAATGGAGATTTTAGTTATTCTTTGTTTTCCTTCTCTTCAAGGGTTAGAGGTAAGATGTCCTCATCTTGTCCTTCACCCCCTTCTTCACTGGGGTTCTGAGCATTGCTATTGTTGGTTTCTTTATGTTTTTGTTCCTGTTCAGAAGTTTCATCAACTTTTTTTCTGTTTCAGTGTCCTGATTTCGTCTTCACTCAGTTCTTTTATTCGTTTTCTGTGTCTACTCTGTGTGTTGTTCAAATGACTGGTAAGATCAAATATTGTTGGTATTGCATTATCTCGAAGAACTGTCCTGTAAGGACTCTCCCAATGACTTCACGAGTATCTGCTTCAATTAGTTTTGAGAAATAAAATAAACCAATTGTTTAGTTTTCTGATGCCTCTGCAAAATGTATAGTTCTACAGATCATAGAGGTCTCAAAATGTGTGGCACATAATTGATAATGTTTATTTAGCTGATCAGGTGTTTTATCTTCTAAATCTGCTCTCCTACAATTGTCCACCCACTTCTGGCATCTGGCCGGGTCCCGCGGGAACTTGAAGAAGGCCAGGTCGGACTGCGTGCTCTTCCGCGTGCAGTTAAGGGCAGCGCAGAAGTTCCGCATCCTTGCCCGCCGCCGGCCGGCTCAGCCCCCTCCTCTCCTCCTCTGGGCAGTCCGCCCGCCCATGGGGCCAGGGAGGGGAGCCAGGCCGGCTGGCCAGCTCGGCAGGACTGGCGCGCGGGGGCGATAAATTCTTATAGTTTGACTTTCCATTTTTAGTTTTAATTATGTTATGCCACTTATAAAATAAAATATTCTGACTGCTCATTCCCAAAATATCTCAATTAAGTGCAAGGCAGAAACATTGGGTTAACTTCAATGTTTGTGAAAGTTTTCCCCAGAAAATTAAAATCTCCCATAGATATAGAATGCCCAGTCAGGACCACCTAAATACAGCTCTCAAAGACAAAACTGTAGGCACAAATATTTCTAAAGTAAATGATAAACACATGGATCTACCAAGGATATTTTCCTGATGCTGTAACTTTAAGCTTCTTCATGTGTTGAGAAAGTATCTTTTTAAAATAACTCTGGAACTGTGGAACATTGAAAATGAGTGTGTTTCTGTGCAGCATTTGTGGAATGCTGGCCACCAAAGAGACATTTACAGCAATTGCAAATTTGCTTTTAAATGGATCCCCCATGACCCCAAAATATTTTTATCCCTTGCTAGTTATCTATTTTCTCTCTTAAATAATCCTGCCTTTTTATAACACTTTACTCCTGTTGCAAATATTTTCACCAAATGCACAGTTAACTTCAAATCCATTTTAAAAGGCAAAGAGAAGATACCAGTAACTCTTACTTTGAACCTATATATGCTTTTGTCCTATTTATGTTCAGTTTGTCAGACTTTCCCCAAAACTGATAGTTATTCTATTTAATTCAATTTAGCCAAATATCATGGGCTATAAAGTCAAGATTATACCAGAAGGGGCAATTGCCATAATTTAAGGTTTTGAGGCCACTAATGTCATGCTATTTTTATGAATAACTAGACAAGACACAAAAGAACATCATTGTCACTGTTTCAGATATCATCTCATGAAACTGGTTTATTGGCCAGAATAATCCCAGGAATTTCTCAATGAAACTCAATTATGAACAATGAGACATGTCAATGAGGCATTGACAGGAAATGAAACATTCCACGTATGCAAATATCTGACTAAAAGCTTTTCTCATTTAAGCTGAATTTTAAGAAATTCAAGGATTTTATTCCTAAATTGTACTTACTGTCATTTATTTATATAATTTAGAATAATCGTTTTGAGCATTAGTGTGATGGACACTGCAGATGTATCCATTAAAATGTATTTACTCCATCTGTTAGTGAAGACTTCAGGTTTGGGAGGTTGTACCTCCTAATCCCACCTTCCTTGGCATTTGAAATTGGAGGGGATGTGTCTAAGGTACTATGTATTGTACTTTGCTATGACCACATTTATTGTTTCACAAGTGGGCTTCTCTATTCCATTTAGGCCCATGAGACTGCAAAAGGTATTTGCTAGGGACATCTAATTAAAAAAAAAAATCTAAGTCTTTATGCAAATGGTTGATGATGTCCCATAAACTTAGCAGCCATGGTTTAACCACAAGAGTCACCAGATGAAACTGCCTTAGTACAGTGCCTGTTACAAAACTAGAATACAGAACAGAACAAACATAACGAGCCTGTGATGCCATCATAGAGTTGCTAAATTAAAAAATCCAGGAAGTTTCCCTTTTGGATTTCCAACTTGCATCAGGCAACATTATTTGAGCTGGGTTGTCTGTCACTTGTAACTAAATGCATACTACCAAGACAATATTTATTCTATTATGTCAGTGATGCCTGCAGGGCTAATAACAGTATTTGCCATATTACATAAAGTTACTCAGGACTTTCTATGTTTTCTAACTCATGTGTTTAATTTGTATAGTGTATCTCTCTTCTCCTGTTGTTAGCTATTACTCTATGGACTAAGAAATTAATTGCTAAAAGAAAAGAATCGTCAGCCAGTTTCCTTTGATCTGCTGTGAACCTGGAGGAGGGGCATGTGCCAAAGGCCTCAGCTCCCTCCTTACTTTCTTAGGAAGGACTTTCCAGACCTACATCAAAGTCAAATCCCCTTGTTAAGTATCTTTACTGAGCTACTACACAACAAGCTCTCTTCTAAGCATTTACCTGTATTAATCTATGTAATCCTCACATAATCTATTTAATCCTCACATAAACCTTATTTTACAGACCATATCATTCCCGTTTTAGGCCATTTGTACTGCTTTAACATAAAACTTGAGAATGGGTAATTCATTAAAAACCAGGAATTTATTTTTCACAGTTTGGAAGGTGGGAAGTCCAAGATCAAGGTGCCGGCATTTGGTCTAGTGAGGGCCTTCTTCCTACATCCTTCATGCTTTCGCAGAAGGGCAAGCTAACTAAATGCTGCAGGAAGCATCTTTTCTAAGGGCCTTAATCTCATTAACCAGGAGGAAGCTCGCATGGCCTATTCACTTATTAAAGACCGACCTCTTAATACGATCACATTGGCAACACCTGGATTTTGGAGGGAAACTATTCAAACTGTAGCACAAATGAAGAAAATGAGGCACAAAAGGGCTGGTAGGTAGTATAAAGTCACAAAACAAAGAAGAACTGGGAGTGTGATTTAAATAAAGGCAATTAAAAGCCCTGCCCCCTTAACTTTTATGCTACATGACCATTTAGTTTTTTTTTTTTTTTTTTTGAGATGGAGTCTCACTGTGTTGCCAGGCTGGAGTGCAGTGGCGCAGTCTTGGCTCACTGCAACCTCCGCCTCCCGGGTTCAAGTGATTCTCCTGCCTCAGCCTCCTGAGTAGCTGGGACTACAGGCACCCGCTACCATGCCTGGCTAATTTTTTGTATTTTTAGTAGACATGGGGTTTCACCATGTTGGCCAGGATGGTCTCGATCTCTTGACCTCTTGATCCACCCTCCTTGACCTCCCAAAGTGCTGTGATTACAGGTGTGACTCACCGTGCCCAGCCCCACTTAGTTTTTTCAGAACACTTGCCTCACATGTTTTTTAAACATTTCCTAACACAATAATTCAATTAACATTCTACCTTCCCACTAGACTACTGGTTCCATACAAGCAGAGATTATATTCAGATTAGTTCATCACTGTCTCCTCAACCCTTAGCACAATGCTCACATCTTTATAAGCACTCAATAAGTGTTTGATAAAAGAGAGAAGAAAAGAAGGAAATACACAAGGTATGCACAGAGGAAAAGGAATGAAAGATGGAAATTAAGACCTAAGCAAGAACCCAAAAGGAAGCTATAGATAAGTTATAATTGAGGGCTGTTTTAGCTGCACGGAGGCCTTTTCTGCTTCCTTCTAAGTAGCCAAATTTACCAGATAAATGAGCTGTTACTGTACTTCATGTCCAATAATAACATTTCTTCTAGCAATTAACTGAGAGTATGTCCAACACTTCATGTAATGAGGAAAGCTAAAAAGAAAACACACATTAAGAATATAAATAGGCCGGCGCAGTGGCTCATGCCTGCAATCCCAGCACTTTGGGAGGTTGAGGTGGGCAGATTGCTTGAGCCCAGGAGTTCAAGACCAGCCTGGGTGACATGGTGAAACCCCACCTCTACAAAAAAATTAAAAAACTAGCCAGGTGTGGCGGTGCGTGCCTGTAGTCCCAGCAACCCAGGAGGCTGAGGTGCGAGGGTCTCTTGGACCTGGAAAGGTCAAGGCTTCAGTGAGCTGTGATTGTGCCACTGCACTCCAGCCTGGGCAACAGAGTGAGATCCTTAGAACTGGCCACATATTCAGGATTTAAAGATTTAGAATAGTGAATAAAATTACCAACCCTACAGAAATACAAAAACCCTCATAAACCATTATGAACACTTTTATGCACACAAACTAGAAAACCTGGAAGAAATTGATAAATTCCTGGAAATATACAACCTCCAAAGATTGAACCAGGAAGAAATAGAAACCCTGAACAGACCAATAGTGAGTTCCAAAATTGAATCAGTAATAAAAAGCCTACCAACCAGAAAAAATCCCCGGACCAGACAGTTTCACAGCTAAATTCTACCAGATGTATAAAGAAGAGCTAGTACCAATCCTACTGAAACTACTCCAAAAAATTGAGAAGCAGGGATTCCTTCCTCTCTCATTCTGTGAAGCCCGCATCATTATGATAGCAAAATCTGGCAGACACACACACACACATACACACATGCACGCAAACTTCAGGCCAATATCCTTGCTGCACATAGATGCAAAAATCCTCAACAAAATACTAACAAACTAAACCTAACAACACATCAAAAAGCTAATCCACCACAATCAGGTATACTTTATTCCTGGGATGCAAGGTTGGTTCAACATATGCAAATCAATAAATGTGATTAATCACATAAACAGAACAAAAAGCAAAAACCACACGATCATCTTAATAGACACAGAAAAGGCTTTTGATAAAATTTAACGTCCAGTCCGTGCTAAAAACCATCAACAAACTAGGTGTCAAAGATACGTACCTCAAAATAAAAAGAGGCATCTGTGACAAATCCACAGCCAATATCATACCAAACAGGCAAAAGCTGGAAGCATTCCCCTAGAGAACAAGAACAATACAAGGATGCCCACTCTCACTGCTTTTATTCAACATAGTACTGGAAATCCTAATCAGAGCAATCAGGCAAGGGAAAGAAATAAAAGCATACAAGTAGGAAAGAGGGGAAGTCAAACTATCTCTCTCCACAGATACTATGACTCTATACCTACAAAACCCCAGTTACTCCTCAAAGGCTCCTAGATCTGATAAATAACATCAGCAAAGTTTCAGGATACAAAATCAAAGTACAAAAATCAATAGCATGTCTATACGTCAACGTGAGAGCCAATTCAAGAATGCAATCCCATTCACAATAACCACAAAAAGAATAAAATACCTAGTGATACATTTAATCAGGGAGGTGAAAGATCTCTACAATGAGAATTACAAAACACTGATTAAAGAAATCAGAGATGAAACAAACAAAACATTCCATGCTCATAGATAGGAAGAATCAGTATTGTTACAATGGCCATACTGCTGAAAGCAATTTTCAGATTCAATGTTATTCCTGTGAAAACAGCAATGACGATTTTTGAAGAATAAGAAAAAACTATTCTAAAATTCATATAGAACCAAAAAAGGAGCTCAAATAGCCAAAGCAGTACTAAGCAGGAAGAACAAAACCAGAGGTATCACATTGCCCAACTTCAAACTATACTACAAGGCTACAGTAACCAAAACAACATTGTACTGGTACAAAAACAGACAGATAGACCAATGAAACAGGTTAGAGAACCCGTAAATAAAGCTGCACAACTACAGCCATCAGATCTTCAACAAAGTTGATAAAACCAAGCAATGGGGAAAGGACTCCCTGCTCAAAAAATGGTGCTTGAATAACTGGCTAGCCACATGCAGAAGACTGAAACTGGACTCCTTGCTTATACCATCTGCAAAAATCAACTCAAGGTGGATTTAAAGACTTAAATATAAAACCTAAAACTATAAAAGCCCTAGAGGTAAACCTAGGAAATACCTTTGTGGACACAGATCCTGGCAAAGATTTCATGATGAAAACTCCAAAAGCAGTTGCAACAAAAACAGAAATTGACAGATAGGACCTAATTAAATTAAATAGATTCTGTACAGCAAAAATAACTATCAGCAGAGTAAACAGACAGCCTACAGAATGGGAGAAAATATTCGTAAACTGCATTTCACAAAAGTCAAATATCCAGAAACTGTAAGGAATTTAAACAAATTAACAAGCAAAAAAACAAACAACCTCATTAAAAATGAGCAAAGGACATGAAGAGACATTTCTCTAAAGAAGACATTCATGTGGCCAACAAGCATATGAAAAAATGTTCAACTTACACCTTATACAAAAATCAATTCAAGATGGATTAAAGACTTAAACGTTAGACCTAAAACCATAAAAACCCTAGAAGAAAACCTAGGCATTACCATTCAGGACACAGTCATGGGCAAGGACTTCATGTCTAAAACACCAAAAGCAATGGCAACAAAAGCCAAAATTGACAAATGGAATCTAATTAAAGAGCTTCTGCACAGCAAAATAAACTACCATCAGAGTGAACTGGCAACCCACAAAATGAAAATTTTCACAACCTACCCATCTGACAAAGGGCTAATATCCAGAATCTACAATGAACTCAAACAAATTTACAAGGAAAAACAAACAACCCCATCAAAAAGTGGGCCAAGGACATGAACAGACACTTCTCAAAAGAAGACATTTATGCAGCCAAAAAACACATGAAAAAATGCTCACCATCACTGGCCATCAGAGAAATGCAAATCAAAACCACAATGAGATACCATCTCACACCAGTTAGAATGGCAATCATTAAAAAGTCAGGAAACAACAGGTGCTGGAGAGGATGTGGAGAAATAGGAACACTTTTACACTGTTGGTGGGACCGTAAACTAGTTCAACCATCGTGGAAGTCAGTGTGGCGATTCCTCAGGGATCTAGAACTAGAAATACCATTTGACCCAGCCATCCCATTACTGGGTATGTACCCAAAGGATTATAAATCATGCTGCTATAAAGACACATGCACACGTATGTTTATTGCGGCACTATTCACAATAGCAAAGACTTGGAACCAACCCAAATGTCCAACAATGATAGACTGGATTAAGAAAATGTGGCACATATACACCATGGAATACTATGCAGCCATAAAAAATGATGAGTTCGTGTCCTTTGTAGGGACAAGGATGAAGTTGGAAATCATCATTCTCAGTAAACTATCGCAAGAACAAAAAACCAAACACAGCATATTCTCACTCATAGGTGGGAATTGAACAATGAGAACACATGGACACAGGAAGGGGAACATCACACTCTGGGGACTGTTGTGGGGTGCGGAGAGGGGGGAGGGATAGCATTGGGAGATATACCTAATGCTAGATGACAAGTTAGTGGGTGCAGTGCACAAGCATGTCACATGTATACATATGTAACTAACCTGCACGTTGTGCACATGTACCCTAAAACTTAAAGTATAATAATAATAATAAAAAAGAAAGAGAAATGCAAATCAAAACCAGATGAGATACCATCTTGCATCAGTCAGAATGGCTAGTATTAAAAAGTCAAAGAATAACAGATGCTGATGGGGTTGCAGAGAAAAGATACTGCTTACACATTGGTAGTAGGAATGTAAATTACTTCAGCCACTGTGGAAAGCAGTTTGGATATTTCTCAAAGAACGTAGAACTAACATTCAACCCAGCAATCCCATTATTGGGTATATAGCCAAAGGAATATAAATCGTTCACCATAAAGACACATGAACTCATATGTTCATTGCAGCACTATTCACAATGGTAAAGACATGGAATCAACCTATCAACCTAGATGCCCATTGGTGGTGGACTGGATAAAGAAAATGTGGTACATATATACCATGGAACACTATGCAGCCATAAGAAAGAATGAAATTATGTCCTTTGCAGCAATGTGGATAGTGTTGGAGGCCATTATCCTAAGTGAATTAATGTAGGTAAGAACAGAAAAGCAAATGCAACATATTCTCAGCTATATGAAAGGGAGCTAAACATTGAGTATACATGGATACAAAGAAGGAAACAATAGACACTGGGGCCTACTTGAAGATGGAGGGTAGTAGGAGGGTGAGAACCGAAAAACTATCTATCCAGTACTATTCTCAGTACCTGAGTGATGAAATAATGTGTACACCAAACCCCTGCAACATGCAATTTACCCTGTAACAAACCTGCACATACATCCCTTGAACCTAAAATAAAAGTTGGAAAGAAAAAAAGACAGAGAGAATAAAAATCTCCCAGGAGACCTGAAAGAAGCTATGACTGACTAAAGCAATGGATAAGGATATAGTCTGCCTCAGTTAACTATTGCTGCGTAACAAATTATCCCAAAATTTAGCATCTTAAGAGAGCATGCATTTATTATCTCACAGTTTATGTGAGTTAGGTATAAGTTAGTTGGATCCTTTAGCTCAGCACCTTTCACAAGGCTGCAATTAGGTTTTTAGTGCAGGTTCACAGTCATCTCAAGGTTAAATTGGGGCAGGATCTCCTTCTAAGATCATTTAGTGGTTGTCGATAAGATTCACTTCCTTGTGTGCTGTTGAACAGAGGCCACCTTCAGTTTCTTGAAATATGAGGCTCTTCATCATGGCAGCTTGCTTCATCAAATCTAGTAAAAGATAGCATCTGCTAGCAAGGAAAAAGTCATGATATTTTATAACTTAATATGGAAAGGACATCTTCTCACTTTTGCCATATTCTGTTCATTAGGTGCAAGTCACTAGGTTCAGCCCACAATCAATAGGAGAGGATTACTCAAGGTCATGAATACCAGGAGGTAGGGATCATTTTAAAAGTTTGCATAATATGTGGTTCTTTCTATAGCTAAAAAAACTACATATAAATCACATAATGTATACTTTATAATTATGTATTTTTATTCTTAAGCCAAGGACAATGTAAGTGTAAACTAACAATATGTACTCATGTATATCATCATATAAACCCTTATTATTAAAGTCCATTTACTTTCAATGGTCCAAATCACAGTGGTCCAAATCACAGATTAAAACAGTAAAAATGTTAAGTTCAAATAAAATGTATGTATGTGGCCGCATATTTGCCATTTTTTAACTGTGGAATATGAAATAAAATTCTAAGTTCCTGTCACGCAACTGTGCCTTCTAAATTGTACTTAATAAATAAACATTAAAAGCAAGGAATATAATTCAGACACTAGGTAAGGAGGAAGTACATGCAAACTGATAGAAAATAAAAATGCAGTTCAACTAAATGATGAATATAACAAACCCAATTTCCAGGCCTGAAAATTTGAGAAAAAATTTCCAGTAAATCATTGGAGGGATTCACTCATCACCTCCCCTCCTCTGCCCACCTCTCACTAGCTTTCTGTGAGGAGAGGAGATGGTGTCCCAAACCAAAATCTGTGTGTCTCTGGGTAACTTCCTCGAGATATAGCCAGATCAGAAAGGTATTATGAATATTTCTGGGAACATTACTGGGCCATTATGCATAAGCATTAAATTGAATATTCAAGAGGCACCACATTATTTTTTCAAAAAGAGCCTAGTCCCTTTTACCAATACCGGGAATGAGTTTATTTTCATGTGGTTTTAATTGGCCTGAGGTTTGACACAGCTTTACTTTGTCAGTAAGGACTGTTTTATTTTAAAATACAACAGAATAATTGAATGTCAATTTAAAAGGTAGAGAAAGCCAACAGACTACCTAACCTGATGCACAGTTTTTTGCCTCAGCTGAAATCTGCTTGGCTTATGTTCCAGGTCACTGGATGGGGAGTAGGGGAGGGCACCATGATGTGCATTATGGTTATCTGAAAGCCACCCAACAATGTATACATTTTCTTGCCTCCCCTTTGGCTTTGTAGACCAAGGAAAGTAAGTGGGAAAAGGTTGAGAGGCCATTTTTAAAACATAAGAGAAACAGAATAGGAAAAAAGCCACAGAAAACACCTAGACTGAGACTTAAGGCAAAGAAAGAAATCTGGGCTCCAGGATTTCCAAAAAGAAAGACAAGAGAAGACAAAAAGACTGCTGGGTACAATTGGCATATATCAGGATATCCAGTCACTTGTATCTTTTTGCAAACTGAAATTCTGAAACTGGTAGGGAATATTTGTTAGGATTTCAGCACAGAACAAAACTTAAACATTAATTCTATGTGAAGTCTGTGTGGAATTGACTTCAGGTGCATGAAGGAGAGATCGAGGAAATAGTCTTAAAATCAGTCCAACAGAGTTGAGATAAGGAAGGGAGTAGTATAATAATTATGCTTCCAGATCATCATCATATTTCCATCAAAATGACTTAAATGCTTATATTTTATAATCATATAGTCTTTTAAAAACCCTCCAAATCATTTATAATCCAATGATTGAGAATTGTCTATGGTCCCAGCATTTTTAGATATCTTAGAATTAGAGGGGAGGGGGGCACCTAATGGATGGGGTGTGTGTGTGTGTGTGTGTGTGTGTGTGTGTGTATAGAGGCAGGAGGTGACAGGTGGCTTTGGAGGCCATGGAGTACAGCTATGGATTCAATACAAGAATCATTTCTATACTCTATCTGGCCCATGAGTACAGTGAATCCAGTTTAAGATCTTCAAGGACAGAAAATGCACTACTTTAGAGAGCCTGTCTGCTTCCTTTTCAAGAAATATAATTGACAAAATGTATTTCCTTATTGCAAAAGGTGATCATACACATTGGGTCATTCTTGTTATAACAAACTGAAACAGAGTCAAAAGGCTGGGGGAGAAAGCACTCAGGGCACAATAACAGTGATCCAAGAATGTAATTCTCTGTGGGCCTGGCTGCTGAAACTGCCTGCTGTAACCTGAAACCAGTTTTATCTAATAGCTTCTGAAACAACATCCTGCAATTCTAAGAATAGTTTTACTCACGTCTGTCACTTACCAATCTAAACTTGTCATTTTTCCCAAAACCTTACCAGTGCTAATGGACTTTCTCAAAGAGCAATACATAATATTTCTATTTATTTATTTATTTATTGAGACAGTCTCGCTCCATAGCCCAGGCTCAAGTGCAGTGGTACAATCTTGGCTCACTGCAACCTCTGCCTCCTGGCTTCGAGAGATTCTCCTGCCTCAGCCTCCCAAGTAGCTGGGATTACAGGCACACACCACCACGCCCAGCTAATTTTTGTATTTTTGGTAGAGACGGGGTTTCGCCATGTTGGCCAGGCTGGTCTCGAACTCCTGACCTCAGGTGATCCGCCTGCCTCAGCCTCTCAAAGTGCTGGGATTACAGGTGTGAGCCACTGTGCCGGGCCTCATTTCTCTCTCTCTCTCTCTCTTTTTTTTTTAAATAAAACCGCTAACCTTCTCTTTGATCTTTGGACATGCCAAAGACCATCCAGTCTGCACGTATGCCCTGAATTGCAATTCTTTCTTCCCCAACAAAATGTTTTAATTTCAGAGATTCATCTGCATTTTATTTGACTTTGACACTTACTACGAAGTTGAAATTTTCACTCTATAATGTCCGCCATTAATATCTCAGAATGAAACTAAATTATGCCTTTGGAGACACACATGTACACCCACATGCAAACACGCATGCACAAGACAATACATAGAACAAGAGAATGATTATACTTTTCCCTAAATATATTTCCCAAATTAACTATTTCTCAAATTTCAAATAGAAATATTTTACTATCCATATAGCTATATCCTGGATATGGACCAGTTTAATCTTCACACTATTCAGCTCAGAAAAGAAAATATTATTCCAAATCTTGGTTGATTAGTACAGAAGAGAGTACAACTGTATAAGGCTGTTTTCACGCTGCTGATAAAGACATACATACCTGAGACTGGGTAATTTATAAAGAAAAAGAGGTTTAATGGACTCCCAGTTCCACGTGGCTAGGGAGACCTCACAATCATAGCAAAAGGTGAAAGACACATCTTACATGGCAGTAGACAAGAGAGAATGAGAGCCAAGTGAAAGAGGAAACCCGTTATAAAATCATCAGCTCTTGTGAGACTTATTCACTACCTTGAAAACAGTATGAGGGAAAGCGCCCCCATAGTTCAATTATCTCCCACTGGGTCCCTCCCACAATACGTGGGAATTATGGGAGCTACAATTCAAGATGAGATTTGGGTGAGGACACAGCCAAACCATATCAACAACTCTTTCTTAACTTGTTCTGGTCTTTCTAGTTTTTTGAATGCAACAGAGAATACATTCGAGTAGATTCAAATAGGCCCCAAGTAAGCTTGTCTGGCAGGAGGGAGAACTGAGGAATAAAGACATAACTCCATGTTAAAATTGAGTATAAGATAGAATTGAAAGCCACTTATATAGCCTAAGAAAATGAGACACGTCTACAAAATAATCAGAGACTTCTGACTTCCCCGGCAAGGACAGCTACCTTCTTTCAGATACACCTTTGTTTTGATACCACTAACGATAATACTTAACCAGGTGAATGAGTATGGGAAAGAAAAAAAAAAAAAACTGACTTTTTAAAGGATTTTATTCACAAAGCATTTATTAGTTTCTAGGATCTCAGTTCTTTCCAGACATACCTATGGAACAGAAAGGCCAGCATTGAGTTCCTAAAGATCCTCAAAAGGGGCATTCAGCAAGGAGGTAGGATGGGGAAGAAAGACCTGCGCATGGACAGATGAAAAAAAACAACAGGTCCTGGCCTGGGGCAAAATTTTCCAAAGACAATGGAGATAAAGGCCTGTGAGTTTTTTGAGTTCTGGGGACCTGTCTACATTCTTCCTGATAGCTGCATCCAGGAACAATCATAATATCCCAGTATGAGCTGTTTGATATAGACAACTTAGGGTATTATTTTATTTCATTTTATTTTATTTTTTTATTTTATTTTATTTATTTCAGACGGAGTCTCACCCTGTTTCCCAGGCTGGAGTGCAGTGGCATGATCTCTGCTCACTGCAACCGCCGCCTCCTAGGTTCAGGCAATTCTCCTTCCTCAGCCTCCAGAGTAACTGGGATTACAGGCACGCACCAGCACTCCCGACTAATTTTTGTATTTTTAGTAGAGACGGGGTTTCGCCATGTTTGCCAGGCTGGTCTCACACTCCTGACCTCAGGTGATCCATTCGCCTTGGCCCCCCAAAGTGCTGGGATTACAGGCGTGAGCCACCGCGCCCAGCCCACTTAGGGCAATTTTATCTATTAAAGTCTTTGGGCACCATACGCCCTGAGGCTATGACAGAACCTCAGTGAGCGTGATGGTGCCATGCCTTGTGTGCAGCAAGACCAGAAATTCCATGACTTCCAGTCAGGAAAAATCTCCTATGCTCCACTTCCACCCCCAGAGAAACACAGCTACTGCCTTCAAGGGATTAGCCAGCTTGGGCAATGAGCATTTTATCACTGACCACTCTGGGCAAAGATAGAAGCGCCTCCCTGAATACTCTGAATTACCTAAGAACTCCAGGCTTTCATACAACCTTGGAGGATGAGGAGATGAGGATCCCCAATAATGGTGATGGTTTAAATGGCTGCCTACTTTCTAGGAAGGGGTATGGAAACAAAGTAAATTTTACTTAGTGAAATAAAGGATGTGACATTCCTTACACCCCATATTACATAGTAAAATTCAAATTGGATACATATTTTTAGAGGCAAGAATGAAGAAACTGAAGTTGGAGAAAGTTGAGTAGCTTACCCAAGGTCATTAGGTTGTTAAAGCCAGGACTATAACCCAGCTCCGGATTCCTGACACAGTATTCTCCATCATTTATAACTATATTTGTTCTTAATTTTAACATGAGATTTTTCAAACCATTTTTAACATGTAAGTGCTTGATATTGAGGCTCAGAGAGTAGGGCTTGCTAGTGAGTGGTAAATCATTCAATACTTACTGGATTAAAGGTTTACTTGATAGAAAATTGTATTGTGGCAAAGAAGGCAGATATATTCAAAAAGACCTAAATAGATTTTAATTTCTAAAACAAGTATTTATGAACAGGAATTTTTCGTACGTTATTTTATATTAGGGACTGGTTGGAACAAAAAGATAAATCAGTGTGTATCCTCAAAATGTGTTTAAAATATGTGCCTGTGACAGAACAAAACAGAGAGTGAATAGTGCACGAAGACTATCAGTTATGGATCTTTAAAATTCCGTTCTGACACTGATATACTAGGTTAAACCAAGTGTGTCTCCAAGATAAAGATGCATTTATTTCCAAAGTTATTTAATCACACAACTTTTCACAAAATATTCAATACGACTAGTAAAGACATATAAACTCTTGTCACAACTCTCTTACATCAATTATGTAAAATAATTTTAGCACCCCAAAAGTGAGAGTATCTTCCTAAAGTAAAATAATTATCAATAAAATAGTGACAGGGTGAAATTTCTTTAACTTTGAGACAGTCTATGATAATTCGACATGGTGAAGTTTTTATGGTCTGAGAAGCCTTTTCTTTAAAGTGAGAAGTTTCAGTAGTTGAGCTCGCAACTACAAACTTAAATAAAATGACTCTTTAATATTGGTGTCCATGGCAATATTAATAATGCAATAAACAAGGACGAACAATTGGCATTATACTTAAAATCCTATTATTTCAGTTATTATCAATAATAATTATTGCCTGAACTGAGCTGCCCACTTTTGTTAATTACCAGTGCATGTTGGTGATTCTATTGCATTTGAATTTCCAAAAATATGTTTGAATTTCATATATTTGGACTTTCTGACATAGACAAAATCTCTTAACCATATTACATGTTGAGTGTTCATTCAAACAAACTTTCAACAAGTTGTGATTCAGTTCTTACCAAATGCAAAGTGGTTCTGTAAATTAAATCATATGTCCATTTAAACATAGAACATTGTCCCCGATAACATTTAAGATGATTGATGGCATTTTCTTTATTTTCCTTAAACCTTCTCTCTAGGATGATGAGATCACCTAATCTCAAACACTCAGATCCTAGAAGTAACCTTCCTTCATACTAAGGCCTAACATTTAAAAAGTAATGAACCTAGTAATGAACCAATGCCAATTGTCCTCACAGCAAAAGCTAGAGAATCGGAAGGCTGAGTAATTTTCTTGCAATCTGGTGGCTATTCTGTGAAGATAGAAGTTTGGTAGCAGTTGGTGTCATTTGCTGGCAGTTGCCAACCAACTGTGCATTGCCTGGTAGAGGGAAGCAGTTGATGATAGAGGGAGAAGGGAGTGGCTTATATATAAAGCAAACTCTTATAACCCCAGAAGATCAAAGCCTGAACCAAACAGGTGAGAATTGTTCACTTAGAGGGTCATCTCTGGAAGCACTATCAAGAGGAGTTACAAAGCTTGCTAATTTCATTTGAGATTCAACACTAACCAAGAAAAAAATATATAGAAACTAAGGGGCCTATTTCCAAACAGTTTAAAGGAATGTGTCACATTTGTCTTCCTTCTGCAGCAAGTACCAGCTATGTGTCCACATTGCTTGATGAGACAGGCCTCTTAACATTTTGGTTTAACAAAGAGAATGAGTTCCTCAGTAGAATGAAAGTAATATAATGTAGAAAAGAAGTCAGGAAACCATGTGTCTGATTACGTAGTCAAGACTCCAAACCATTACAAGAAAACACTCAGTAAAATAATATGATATAGAATAAGGAGAGAAAGAGAAACCAAGTTTTCCTGTAGTAACTCTGTAGGTGTGCACAGAAGAGGGAGAGAACAAAGAGTCACTGGCATATAAGGTATATCTATAAGGAATAAATGTGACATACCTCTTATAGTATCTACATACAAAAGTCACTCAAGGAACATTTGTTGAATTAATAAATAATCAGCTTAATAAAGAGGAACTAACCCTAAGTTCTAAGAAACCTAGTATTTAGGCCGGGCGTGGTGGCTCATGCCTGTAATCCCAGCGTTTTGGGAGGCCGAGGCGGGTGGATCACCTGAGGTCAGGAGTTCGAGACCAGCCTGACCAACATGGTGAAACCCGGTCTCTACTAAAAATACAAAAATTAGTTGGGCGTGGTGGCACATGCCTGTAATCCCAGCTACTCAGAGGCTGAGGCAGGAGAATCCACCTGGGAGGTGGAGGTTGCAGTGAACCAAGACTGCCCCATTGCACTCCAGCCTAGGCAACAAGAGCAAAACTCCATCAAAACAAAACAAAACAAAAAAAAACAACAACAACAACAACAACAAAAACTAGTATTTATCCGGAAAGAATAAATATACCAAGTGTGATTGACACACAATGAATGACCAATATCAAGGTATGCTGTGTTTCTTAAGCACATACCCAGAATGTAACAACCCATGGAGACCACCGTTCATGCCAATTTGACTAAGAATCAACAATACCACCAGAAGAGATCAGGGGAAAAATTTAGGGAAAATTTAAAAGGATCCAGTAATACATATAAGAAATAATAAACTTGGAAAGGGATTGAAAAAATACACACACTTGTAATCTCAGATATTCATATATCAATGCACACATCATGGAAAAATAAAATTTGAGATTTATGATGCAGAATAACAAATACTGATTGATAAGTTGTTAGGATAAAACTTAAAATTTATATAGGAATAGATTTTTAAAGTATATATTATTGAATAGGAACAGATTTGGCTAGGAGAAGAGAAAGAGAAAGAGGTAGATTGGTGCTAAATGTCTAAGATAGATCTGATCTTATTTCTGATAAAATTACATGGAATAAATGATGTCTAACATATAGGAGGTGATTGATATGCATTTGCTAAGTTAGAGAAGAAAAAGTAAGCAACAAAACAAGTGAGATTTTAAAGTAAATGTAGAAAAACCAGCTAGAGAAAAATGGACAAAGATGAATGAAAAGTTCAAAGTGTTAATTTAGATATAAAAAATTAAATGAGAAAGAAAGTGACTAAAAGTGACAAAATATAAAAAGTCAATGTAATTGGATATCAAAGAAAGAGAGGTATTGAGACATAGTATTAAGATATACTGTGTCACCCAAAAGAAGAGAAAATAAGTTTAAAAATATAGGATAATTAAAATTAATAATTTTAAAACAAACAGGAAAAAAATAGCTAGTCACAGACAAGTCTTGTGGGTCCACAGGGAATTTCTAGGACAGTCAAACTTCCGGGACTAATAGTTTCCAGCTGAAGCAGATGGTGTGCATTCTTCCATGTTAAGGAACAAAGAGAGAAAGATCCATATGTCATCCTTATGCTCCTCACCTTTATAGTTGAGCATAAAATCTCACATCCCAACCACTGTATCTCTCATTACTTCATTGCTCTGTAGGAAAAGAAAGAGAACATTGCAGAACATCTAAGGGTATTCTTAATTCCTGTGATTGTACTGCTAAACGTCAGGACAGTTGAGCCACTACCAACACTACCATCATCACAATGAGTGTAACAGCATGTCCTCAGAAAACTTCTCTGGTTTCTCAGATCTCTAAAACAATTAATACATACTATATAGAAATTCATGATCAGGTAAATTGAAGCATACAAGAAGCCACTGAATAAAAAGAACAATTGTTACATACTATATGACCACATAAAGGAAACTGATGCTATACTTGCTATACTATGCAAGATGTAGATCCTAACATTGGCATGGGGGAAAGATCCAGCAGCAATGGGGATCTCCAATGCAACATACTACGGTAAAACCAATGTATCTGGCAGTTTCTTATTATGTCTTCACTTCCTTCCCAAGGGAGGCACAAGAAGTAATGAGGAAACCTAATGCTGTCTCAGAAAAAGGAATTTGTTTTAAAATTGAATGAGAAAAAGTGATCATGGTATCCTGGCAGCATGGTAGCATGGCACAGAAGTGGGAAAAATGAACATAGAGAGTTGATTGCACAAACTCTGAAGAAAAAAGAAGCATGAACCCTGTACCTTAAGTTTCTGAAATGGAAGACATAGAGTGTAGAATTCTTACAAATTATCTGCAAGAGGAAGAAATGGGGGAGGGGGATCTGAGGAAACAGAATATTTAAAAAATAACTTCAGAAAGAAAAAAAAGAAACAAAGACAAATTTTGGAAAACGCTAGTGACATTAATAATAACTGAGTCACAAAAGCCATGGATAATGAGGGCAATGGCAAGATTTCCTCCAAAAGTGAAATTAAGATAAAATTAGGAGAAAGGCAGAATAATGAATGAGATAAGCCATTTGCAGGAGAAACCCACTCTTACTGATAATCTGTAAATGGAATTGCTAACTTGAGTGCCCTTCAGGAAGATATATCTGGAATGTGATTATAAATAACAAAAGCTTAAACCTAATCAACGGTATGCACTATGGAGAAAAGAATGTGTTTACAGAAGGTAATGGTTGATCTGCACAGAGTCTAAAATTTATGGACTTAGATACAAAGTGATTTTCTTTTCTTTTTTTTTTTTTGAGGAGTCTCGCTCTGTCGCCAGGCTGGAGTGCAGTGGCGCAATCTCAGCTCACTGCAACCTCCTGGGTTCAAGCAATTCTCCTGCCTCAGCCTCCCGAGTGGCTGGGACAAGAGGTGCGCACCACCACACCCGGCTAATTTTTGTATTTTTAGTAGAGACGGGGTTTCACCATGTTGGCCAGGATGGTCTCAATCTCTTGACCTTTCGATCTGCCCACCTTGGCCTCCCAAAGTGCTGGGATTACAGGCGTGAGCCACCGCGCCCAGCCCGTGGTTTTCAAAATATCACTACCATTACCCTGCTAGAGCTCAGATCCAAGCAGTGAACCTCTACCATTCATTTATTGTTCCTTTCCAAGTTCCTTACTGTTTGTGTTAATTCATATTGCCAACCTTAATGTTTTTCTGAAATTTTGTATTTTATAACCTGGCATATGTAGAAGTATCACTACACTCAACAGACCAGGATATGTGTCCTTATTCTGTTAATTACCGACTTGGCGTCCCAACAGCAGATTATTTAGCTTCGAGTAAGGTTATGATTAACAAATAAAAGAATATGCGTGAAAACATTTTGAAAACTGTAAAACATTATTCAGATGTTGAGCATTGCTACTTAAATCTTTGTAACATTCTGAGTTGGTTGCTTTAAGGAATTTTTTAAACTTTTGCGAATGAAGTAGCTTAGAAGCATATTCCTGTGGTGTGAGCTAGCCTCACAATGTATAAGAGTTTTGCAGACTGAGTCAAGCTAGGTGTGGTTGTCAGGTTGCTGCAACAAGGTGCTTTTGTGATCATTTCTAAAAGGAACCTACCTGCAGCACAGGTTGGTCTTCTCCAAAAATGCCTCTCTACTGAAAGCTGGCACAAGCTGCTGAAATGGCTCTATTTCATGAAAGGCACACAGAGCGTAAGCTTACCTAATTAATAATTTTCACGGTTGTTTTCCTTTTCCTCTTTGCAGCTGCTGAATAGAGTGGCTCTGATTAAGCCATACCACATCGTGAGAAACGTCGCTTCGCAAGGGTGTTACATTCTGAATTTCCCCCTACTTTGATCCCTGCTCATTGGCCCCTTTGATCTCTAAACAGGATGTACAAGGTTCACTAATCAATGCTTTCCCTCATTTTTGGTTCTTTGTCTGTGAAGTGTTTGTATTTAAATCATTGACTAGAATAGGTGAATATGTATGACCTGTGTCTTTTTCCATTTGGTCTTTCAATTTTCAAAAGACAGAAGGAAGAAAATATTTTCAACCGAGTTTTCATTCAAAGCTGAGTTAAGCAGCAAAGTATATCTTGGGGATTGCAGGTGGTGCTCAATTCTTCTTCTTTAAAAATTTGAATCACTTTCTAGGGAGAATTAAAGGATGGCAGAATGAAAGAATCGTGCCCATTGTTGTCCATTCGAAACCATGCAAAGTGGAACATAAGTCCCTTTAATCTCAGATGCCAATGGAGAAATGTACCTGCAGCAGGCTTAGTGCTAACTTTTCCAAGCACTAAAGGGTCTCCTTCTTTTGAGGACTCACAGGTGTATGGAAAAGTAAGAAGCCTAGCACTAAGGAAAGAACCAATAAAACAAAACCTAAATGTTAAGTGAAAAATGGGGAACACCCACAGCAAGTACTATTGGAGTTTAGAAAAGGGAGAGAGACCTTGATAGCTGGATAATCAGGAGAGACCTCTTAGAAGAAGTAGGTTTTGTTGGTTCAAATTCATCCCAGAGAGTGGGAACTGTGTGCAAAGTTTTGGAGCTGGAAATGCCATACCACTCTTACTCCTTATGAACATGTGAAGAATCAACCCTTGTTTGAAGGTGACATGTCTTTTGCTATCCATTTATCCCCCATCCTTCAATTTTTATTACAAGAGAGAAAATGAGGGCAGGTATCAACCATACCAAATTATTCTATGGGATATCCTGTTTTCCATTTTACCTTGTATCAATACCTTACCAGATTAGACATGGCAGGGCTAATTACTGTATTCCCTCTCCTTTGATATAGCATAGACACTTCCAATGTAGCCTAAGTCATTAAGCCTTGACCAAAGAGCAAACAATTCTCAGTTCCATAGTTTCATATGGAGAATTTTATCAAAAACTACTTACATTTTCCACTTTCGTAGAATCACAAAATTGGTTATTGGAATATGAAAGCCAAATGACACTTGAAATTTATTGTGGTCAATTCCATCAATTTCCAGATGAGGAGACTTGAATCTCAGAATGGTTATGTGGTTTGCCCAGAGCTTCACGGCTAATTAAATCCTAGGCTTTTCATCCTGTGCTTTCCCCTGCATCAACTTTTCCTTATTTATTAAGCAAAGGAATTATATCTCTGAGAGTTTATCTATCTCTAAATTCTATGATGTCTTTCTTTATAAATCTTGGAAAAAATCAAAGTCTGAAAGGCAGATTACAGCACTCTAATTTTGGTTCACAAAGGACCACACTAAACTGGCCTGCTGTGGTTCAAATGTAAAGTGCTAAATGGTAGAGCAAGTTAATGCCCTGGTTGTTTGCTGTTGGAGGTAAAAATATATCTGTAGGTCTCAGCCAAGTTCCTGTGGATATTTGTCCACATCCCCAAAATACCACACACACTTGGCAAGAATGGAAGATTACAGCCAAGCAAGGCCCAGATCTTGAATAGCAAGAGTATTTCGAGTAAAGAACAACATACAATGGCAAAGCTCTCATTCTTAGGTATGCCATTTATCTCCATAACGTTCTGTAATGTTGTTCTTTTCTCTTTGTTTCTTCTGCCTTTCTCCATCCTGTATTCCAAACTCCACAAAATTGCAAGAATGACTTTCATTTTAAGTTATATTTGAGACAGGATAAAAATTACAATGAAATAGTTCAGTTATTCATTGCATTTTCTTCTATTTTTCTATATTTTCCAAATTTTCTCTGAAGTGACAATATGTATTAATTATAGAATGAACAAATAAACCTCCTTACAAACAATTTAGATTACTGAGGTACTGACAGCTAGAATTTTGAAATTCTCTCTTGAAAGTCATTCCAAATTGTTTTCTTCCTGGTGTTTTATAGCCATTATATTGCTATCTGTTTTCCTTACAAGTGAACTTGAATGAGATGCTTAAATTTGCTGTTGGTAGAGTTCTTTTGGAAAAAAAAAAAAAAAAAAGGTGTATCATTGGAACTGGTGAATACTACTTTAGCATATTGGTGAAAACAGAGACTGGATATGGCAGCTATCTGAGCAACATATTATCCTAAGATGTTTAAATAAAGCTTACTAAAAGTGATTGGGGCCACTAGATCTCCCTATTGACTTGGATTAATGCCATAATTCAGAAAGAAGTTGACTTTATATATGAATGTTCACATTAAATTGATTGGCAAGATAGAATTTAAGACCAAATTCATTAAGAATTTCAGAATCTTGAAAGACATGCCTTCTAACTCAATGCTATTAAAGCTTTGATTGATAAATTTTTTTTTAAAATTTACCACACTCTAAACACATATTGTCAAACCTGCTTACTTGTTTTAAAGATGAGTTGAATTAAAGCCCTAAAATGCCATTTAGCATGCAATAATGTTTACCCTATTGCAAACCTACTGGAGATACATTATACTAGTGATATTGTAACTCTTGTACACTTAGAGAAGGATGACAAGGAATCCCTCGCACTCTTCCTTTCCAACTTGGACCTGGCAGAATTGTTCCCGCAAAGAAGGGTGGAGAGAAGAAAAAGGGCCGTTCTGTCATCAACGAGGTGGTGACCCGAGAATACACCAACAACATTCACAAGCCCCATCCATGGAGTGGGCTTCAAGAAGAGTCCCCCTCGGGCACTCAAAGCGATTCAGAAATTTGCCATGAAGGAAATGGGAACTCCAGATGTGCACATTGATACCAGGCTCAACACAGCTGTCTGGGCCAAAGGAATAAGGAAAGTCCCAAACCGAATCCGTGTTTGGTTGTCCAGGAAATGTAATGAGGATGAAGATTCACCAAATAAGCTCTATACTTTGGTTACCCATGTACCTGTTAACCACTTTCAAAAATCTACAGAGAGTCAATGTGGAGGAGAACTAATCGCTGACCGTCAAATACCTCAAATAAAGTTATAAAATTGCAAAAAAAAAAAAAAAGACAAGAAGGAATAAGTAAAGCATTTTTAAAGAATTCTTTAAATTTGACGACAGTAGTCTAAAGACTCAAAGTGAAATTTACCAGGTTAAAGTCTTGGATCATTTTCCCATAAAAAATCCCTACCACTTCTGTTGATGAGAGTTGAATTGCGAGTCATAGAAACCTGTGCATCTCTGTCACTTCTTCGTATTCTGCTTCCTACCAAGTAGAATCATAGCTTGTTTCTCATATACTGCAACCTGCTCCCCCCAAGATGTGACTCAAGGGAAAAAAGCATTCATCATATAAGGCAGCATCTATTAAGCACATTTTGCTGTGCTAGACCCTAGGCTAGGTGCTTTCATGCCCTGTCTTACTAAGTCCTTATGGTAAAAGTCCATCCATCTTTACAGATAATCCAAAGAACCTTCAGAAGGATTATTTGCTAGGTATATGTAAGTATAAAAGTATTAAACCATAGAGTTGCAGAGAAAATCTTCTAACTCCTGTAGCTGCAGCCATAGTGTGTCTAATCTATCATCATCAATATTCTGACCCCAAGAGATATCAAACAGAGTTATTATCACCTTACGTAGGCTAGAGAGAAAAGTCTGATCAAAAGCCTTCATATTGAAAATCCTTTCCTGATTCCTTGATTGGCCTTTTGCCCTTCAAGTAGGAGAGGAAGTGCTTATGAGTTTCATTCACAGAAGAAAAAAACCACTTACTTTGAAATTTACTGGCAACTCTTCAAAATGTATGCTGATGTCCTAAAGGCTTTGTTCTTAACTTGAAACACTGGGTAACAAAAGTACTATTTCCCTTCTTCTCTTTATTTTTCCTTTCCCAACTTCCTTTATTTATTTCCCTCTCTTTTTCTTCTCCACTCCACCTCTGTATGAGTGTGTGCAAGTGTGTGCCTGTGGATATTCATTTGAGTTTATAGAATTGACTATACAGGTATTTTAGTCTAATGCAAGCATGAAATCAGAGGGGCAAATTGTAAAGAAGGAAACATGTATGCCTGGTGCCATCACCTCGTCTCATAGTACCTCATATTACCTACTCTTTCCTCCCAGTGTTGCACCTGCCTGATGAGCAATGCCTTTGTCATGCTTCCTTGGCTGACCTTGCTTCCAACCTATTGTTCATTTGACAATTTGTTACTTAATTCACACTGTGTGCCAGTCTTGTGCTGGATGGCCATTTTTCAGAAACTATTCTATGCTCCGCATTCTTGAGTCTCTAGGTATGTTCAACCACATACACTCATCAAGCTTTTTGGAGAAGGGGAGAGTTTGGTGGTCAAATAAGTTTGGAATTAAATCTAGGAACTGAACCCAATCTGATTTCTAGTTCAAAACAAAACAGAAACAGCTATCAAAGACATTCCTGTCACAATTTGGGAAATTTCAATATAAACTGGGTATTATATCATATTAGGAATTACTGTTTTGCTTTTATGTTATTGTAATATAGTTATATGGAAAAATGGCCTTATTCTCAGGAGATATATGCTATGTTCAAGAGTGAAGTATTTCACGTGTCATGATGCCTGAAACTTATTTTCAAATGGTTTCAATAATTGTAAATAAATTTATCTGTAATATTAAAACTAATATACTGATATAAAAATATACAGTTCTGCAAAAAATGCTTATATTTATATATTATATATACATTTGTTACCTACTGTATGTTCATATAGTAAAAGTATGTGTTTATTATCATTTACTACTATAAAACAACTATATATGTTTATCACTTATAAATCAATATGTATATTATATTGTTACATATATGAATATATTTATACATAATGCATATGCCTATATATTATATATGTGTATATTATATATAATAAACACAAATATATAAATATATAATATATAAGGTAGTAATTTTTACTGAATATATATATTGTATATATAAATATATTAATAAATACATAATATAAACACAAACCATTGCTGTGAATATTAAGTAAATACATTTTTATTTTCTGAAGTATGTTTACCTATTTTGACTAACCTTGGGCACATAGCATTTTGGAGTACTGGGAAATTAATTTGGATAGCATGAGGAAGAGAATGAAGTTAATTAATGAGAAATTCTGTTCACGGGTAATCAAGAGTTGACTTTCAAGGACAGAAAATGTCCTTATGCACTAGACTTTCTGAAGTAGGAAAGACCAATTTGTGAGGGAGGAAGAGGGGGATGCTGTTCCTAGACCAATTTGGGGACTTCTAGACCTCTGCAGGAAGTACCTCACTCCTCACCGCACCCCTTAAACTACTGCTTACAGGGATTGCACTGCTAATTGCAGAGTGGTAAGGGTTGGGATACATGATGAAAAGGTTTGTTTTTGGAAAGAAACTCCCCTGTTTCACTTAGATTATTGTGAAAGATGTTTCTGATGCAGGCAAATGAGCCAGGCAAAGATTCTGCATATCTAGTATAAAAAGCAAAATTCAAATATTAGCTGATTACCCTAAAGAAATAAACACTCATAACAGTGACTCTGTAATGTGACTATGATAAATAGGGTGTTACTGTTTTATTTTACCTCTTCTTTGTCCTTGTGAGATAGAGATGAAGATCATATCTCCTCTTGGAAAAGTAATGGCTCAGAGGAAGTTTCTTTTTGGTCTTAGACATATTACATGACTTTAGTTAACTACCTTTGTTTTTCCATTTAAGAGATGGAGATAACAATAAAAATTTAGCTTAAACCATCTTTATGAATTATAAATTACTTATAAAAGTAATTATAAATTATAAACTACTTTGTAAAGCAAGCTGCTATATAAACGCTCAATAATACAGTCCTTTGCAGCACATGGCACCCCCTAATGGGAGCTTATTAAGCGGATTCTATTTAACTTGGATTAATTCTTTCAAATATTTTTTCCTCTTAAATGAACCCAGTACTATGACTGGGAAAACACTCATAGAATATTTTTATAATTCAAGAAACATTAAATCCAATGATTGTACCCTATTCTTTCTTTTGATATCTGCTTTTTTAAAAGCAGAACTGAAATTAACTTCAAAAGGTGTCCTGCAGTCTAATGAGAAACAAGGTAATTGGAGGCCTGAGCATGGGATCTCCTTGTAATCACTTAGAACCAGAGAAAGAAGTTTAATTTAATGAGATGGAAAAGTGGTACCTTACTGAGATGGCACAGAGAAAGGTGCCCAGACATTAATATAAACATCGATATAAATTCTCTATTCACATAGTAGGTATCAGGAATTATATTAAGTGCCCTTTGTAAGTTATATGTTTTAATCTTTACATCTGTCTTTTGAGGAAGACACTATATTTCCCAAATTATAGATGAGAAAACTGAGACTCTGAGTAGTCGAGCAATTTAGTCAAGTTCACATGGTTGGTACATGACAGAGCTAGGATTTGATTACAGGTATTTCTCTGCACAGAATTTCTGTGGATGAGAACATGAATTAAAAGCTAAGCCACATAAATTAAAAACTAAACCACAGAACGTAAAAACTAAAGACTTCATATGGGCATTTTCCATAACAAAATACTTTACATTCTCATTATCCCAGAAAGTCTCTTGTGAGATCACAATAACTATTTCTTGTTGAATATGATATTATGACAAAGCATTTTACCAACTTAGCTTAGCAGAAAACCCATTTTGCTACTTATCTAAATAAGTTGCATTTCTTTCTTCAAAGTAAATACTTCATATGACTATTAAACATCAATTAAGCTTTATACTGACCATATACTGTAATATTTTGCATTATACAATAATGGGCATTTTACGAAAAAGAGCAAAGAGAGGGTACAGTATTTGCTCTCTAGAGATGTCCACAATCTGAAAGATGTGTCAGACAAGGTTTAAAATGTTGAGCTCTGTGTCTAAGAGACAATGTCAGTTAACTACCTGAGAAAACATATTTTACCTAGGAAGTAACTAAAACACCATTCAAAAAATGTCCCCATTTGCTTGCAGACATTGAATTAATGCATATTAGAGAAAAGATATAATTTCTTTATTTCCATTTTTTTGCCTCCATTCAAACAATGCCTCACCAAACTGGAAAAGAGAGGACAGAATTAAAATCTGAGTTATAACAAAGAAAGCATCAAGCCTCATAAAGTAAGTTTAATTTTGTGAACCTAGAAGAATCACACCCAATATGGGGAGCTTTTAGAAACATGATAAATTTGGAGAAGGCAGTTGTCACTTTTTTTTAATGGTGCATTCCTAACACTGCAAACTAATAAATTTACTCAATTCCCAGGAACAATTCTAAAACAGTGAATTAAATTGATACTTTCACTAAAACTACATCACGCAAGACATTGCTTTATTCTTCTTCTTCATTATTTGTTATGATCACATATAATATATGATCACAGTAAATTATAATTTATGTTATAATTTACTAAATCAGTAAATTAAGGAAATGTCAGTATAGTGAATCTTGATTTCAACAATACAATGAACAAAGCCTAACACTGTTTCTCTGGAATGGAGAAGATACATCATGACAGAAGAACCAGCATATATGTTCTCATGACCCCATGTTCATAATCTCTGGACAGAAGCACAGGTTTGAGTGACAGGGGAGTGTGGTATGCCCTGCAGGGGAACCAGTCATGCCCCTACCTCAGACACTTACAAAAGCCATCCTTTTCTGCCATTTGCAGAAAAAAATAGAGTAAGTGTAGAGATTTAAAATGACCATGATATGAAGGGTCCTCTGGAATTATGCAAAGCCTATTGTACACAACTATAAGCATGAGCTATTGTGTGATGCTTCAATCTGACAATTTTGTAGACTGAATGCCAGATAATATGTATTTATCTCACTCTTTCTATCTATTTGCTGAATAAGAACATTCATTTGGGCCAGGTATGGTGGCTCACACCTGTAATCCCAGCACTTTGGGAGGCTGAGGCAGGCGGATCACCTGAGGTCAGAAGTTCGAGACCAGCCTGGCCAACATGGCGAAACCCCGTCTCTATTGAAAAGACAAAAATTAGCTGGGCATGGTGGTGGGCCCCTGTAATCCTAGCTACTCTGGAACCTGAGGCAGAAGAATTGCTTGAACCCAGGAGGCGGAGGTTGCAGTGAGCTGAGATGGGGCCATTACAACAGAGCAAGACTCTGTCTCAAAAAAAAAAAAAAAAAAAAAGAACATTTTTTGTTTCTTTATCTTGCTTAGTGGATGCCAGACTTTATTCTTTCCTACCCTTTTTAAAGTGTATATAGTTATAAGAAGAATGAATCACTGTACTAATATATTGTCCACCACATAAAAAACTGAAAATGAAATTTTTAATAACACACACACACACACACACACACACACACACACACAAATCCATAAACAGAAGTTCTAGTATTTTCTTACTCCAATATCTTACTTTGAAGGTTATTGATTTAGATATCCTAGGCTACAAATGACAGAATGAAGCTGGTTCTCGTTTCTTGTCAGAAGCAGGCATATTTTTTACTAGGACCTTGTCTGAATGTGTATGTATATCAGCATGTGGATGCTTCTGTAGTCACCCACGTGAGAGTGTATAGGGGAGATACGCATGCAGAAGCTATTAAAGAGATAATAGATTTTTCAGAATATTTTATTTGTCCATCTCCAGGTGCTTTTCCAATGTGAAGTCATATTGGTAAACTTACAAGTCTGAATGTTTCAGTTATTCATGCCCAGTTTTTCAGGGATGGCCTGGCCTCTTAAAAGCATGCTATTTCCACTAGATAAAATCAACAACCTAAGTTAAGCACTGAGTTAATTGCATCATTTGTCTCAGAGATGATTTCCTACTCTGAGGAGCCCACAGAAACCAGTATCTGCCATTTCTTTTTTTTTTTTTTTTTTTTTGTCTTGCTCAGTCTGTATATCACTGCGTACACAGGAGGATGAACAGTTTTATATTTAATCTGGGCCTTGTTTTGAATCATGGCATGGTTGACATGTGTACTATGGAGTCAGAGTTTAGGATTGAATTCTTTCTCTGTCATTTTACAAGCTGTGTGACCTTGAGCATTGAAGTTATTTAAGTTTTCAAAGCTTCACTTTCCCTTTTCTATAAAATGAGGAATGTTAATACTGCACAACCAACACCACAGGGTTACTACAATTACTGAACACGATAATTAATAAAATGGAGCTTCTGTAATGACCAGCACCGTAGTCAATCTCAATAAATATTAGCTATTGCTATTAGCATAATTATACGAGCATAATCTTATCCAAAAACCTCAAGGCCAAATGTTTTCCTGAATTCAGTGTTTTTCGGATTTAAGAAAGGCAATACTGTACAGTGAATGCAGGGCATATTACATAACACTCCCTGCAGCATCTGCAGCAGATCAGGTTTTGGTATTACATCAATGTTGAATTTTATGAATTTTGGAATTGTAAAGAAGAGGCTGCAGATCTGTATTGCTGTCCATTTAAATTTTTACTCAAAATTGAAGCATGGTAGCAAATATCCACTTTCTTCTCTTTTGAATTTGCTCATAACACCATTAAACTCTTTTTAAAACATTCTGCTATCTTTGTTTCCAGCAGCATTTCCATCTCTTGCCGGATAAGAATCACCTGGTTTGCTTATTAAAAACATTGCTTTCAAGGTCTGTCTTAAGATTTGTAACTCAGCAGATGTGAAAGTGAGGTTCCAGATTTTGATTCGTAAGGCCGGGTGTGGCGGCTCACGCCTGTAATCCCAGCACTTTGGGAGACTGAGACGAGTGGATCAGCTGAGGCCAGGAGCTCAAGACAAGCCTGGCCAACGTGGCAAAATCCCATCTCTATTAAAAATACAAAGAATTAGCCAGGTGTGGTGGCGGGCACCTGTAATCCCAGCTACTCGGGAGGGTAGGAGAATCGCTTGAACCCAGGAGGCAGAGGCTGCAGTAAACAGAGATTGCGGCATTGCATTCCAGCCTGGGCTACAAGAGTGAAACTCCATCTCAAAAATAAAAAATAAAAATAAAAAGAAATAATGATTTTTAAATTGATACTCCTAGACAACCATGTTCTAGGAGTTACATTTGGAAAACTTACCTTACCACACATCATGTTGGTGGCCCACCTGCCAGCCCCTTTTACACAGATTCTGGAGACTCAAGATGCGTAGCTCCAGCTGGATTCTATCACAGGTACTAGACATTCCTTCTTTCTCTGCTCCTCTTTGGTACCACAGTATCTGGCCAGCGGGAGTGATTGCTCCCTTTTTTTTTTTTTTTTAATCTGAAGTCTGTTTTGCCTGAGATTCTAGTTTGCTCCTCCAGGCTTAGGCTTTATTCCCTTCCTTACCCCGTTGTCACCGGCAGGTTCTCTGTAGATCCTCTGTCCTTCTTTCTCCACTGGCCAGTCTCATGTCATTCTTCTCATGGAGAAACTTAAGAAATGTGAAGTCTATCCAAGTCTATCACAATGGTTTCAAAGCTGATAGAAGGGGTACACCTATAGGGAAATTTACTGTAGCTTTCATCAAGGCTCTGAGGTTGAACTTGCCTGGTGAGGTTGCAGAGAAAAGGGAATGCTTATACACTGTCGGTGAGACTGTAAATTATTTCAACCATTGTGGAAAGCAGTACGGCGATTCCTCAAAGAGCTAGAAACAGAATTACCATTTGACCCAGCAATCCCATTACTGGGTACATATCCAAAGGAATATAAACCATTCTACCATAAAGACACACACAAATGTTCATTGCAGCACTATTCACAATAGCAAAGAAATCAAATCAACCTAAATGCCCATCAATGACAGATTGGTTAAAGAAAATGTGGTACATATACACCACAAAATACTATGCAGTCATCAGGAAGAATGAGATCATGTCTTTTGCAGGAACATAAAACCAAATACCACATGTTCTCACTTATAAGTGGAAACTAAATGATGAGAACTTACGGACACAAAGAGGGGAAGAGACGCTAGGGTCTACTTGAGGGTAGAAGGTGGGAGGAGGCAGAGGATGAGAAAAAATAACTACTAGATACTAGTGTTAGTATCTGGGTGATGAAATAATCTGTACAACAACCCTCCATGACACAAGTTTACCTATGTAACAAACCTGTACATATATCCCTGAATCTAAATTAAAGTTAAAAGAGAAAGAACTTTCTCTCCTCCACCATTTCTCTGCTTCTCTAGCTAGCTCTCTATTATCAGTATGAACCCATGAATTACCATTATTTTCCAATGAATTATAAGTCCTTATTGTCCTTAATTATATTGGTTTATTTTTAATGACAAATATTTGTTTTTAATTCTTCAACTTTAAATACATAATGACGATCACATCTTACATTTGTTGGTCATTCCACACTTTTAAATGTAATTATCCTTAGCATTTCCATGCAATTATCTAATGTTATCCTCTACAAAAGATGTAAAATTCAATGGGATTAGTGTTTAGATTCAAGGAAGTGTCTCAGTACAATTTCAAGACTCTAAATTAGTAACAAATTTCTTAAGATTCAACATTGATTGCTTTTTGAGCAATCACAAGAAAGAGAGGCAAGGAAATACCTTTACAGCCCACAACAGCAGAAGAACATTCAGCAACCTCTTTCCAAATACATTTATAGTTGCTATATTAGTTTTTATAGAGTTCTGCATTGTTGCAAATAAAAATAAATGTTTACATGTGTACTGAGTTAACACATTGCATTTGTATTGTTACAGATTCTTATTTGCTTTAAAAATAAATAAGATTTTGGTATATAAAAATGAATGCAGATGATTTCTTTATTTCTTCATGAGAATCAACAAAGTAGTTCTGAGGAATAAAGCAAGCAATGCTCTTTTCCTTAAATGTTTTGTATATTTCACCATTCAACTCTGGACCGTCTTCATTCTGAAAAAAAAAATTTTGCCGGGCATGGTGGCTCACGCCTGTAATCCCAGCACTTTGGGAGGCCGAGGCAGGCAGATCACGATGTCAGGAGATCGAGACCATCCTGGCTAACACGGTGAGACCCCGTCTCTACTAAAAATACAAAAAAAAATTAGCCGGGCGTGTTGGTGGGCGCCTGTAGTCCCAGCTACTGGGGAGGCTGAGGCAGGAGAATGGCGTGAACCCGGGAGGCGGAGGTTGCAGTGAGCCGAGATCGCGCCACTGCACTCCATCCTGGGCGACAGAGCGAGACTCCGTCTCAAAAAAAAAAAAAAAAAAAAAATTGTTATTTGGGGGAAATATCAAATACATTTTATTCAGGTATATAGCATTTTAATGGAGTTCTCAAAATTTGATCATATTAATGTTACCAACACCAAAATATTAATTCAAGACATTAAATAAATATGCATGTAACTGAAAGTGGATCATTATAACAAATTTTAAATAAAGCCCACAAATTATAAGATTGTGAAAGTTATATAATAAATGTATATATGTCAAAAATCATAAAAGCGTGGACATAAATTAAAAAAGTAGAGAATAACTGGTCCATACCTGTATGTCTGCAATTCAGGTAAAATTTCTATGGTGGCCAAACCCAAGAAGAACATGCCTCTCTCAGTCAGATTTAACACAATTGGTGTGATTTAGAGATAAGAGCTGAGTAATAAAGAAACTCCCGCTTTGGTAGTGTTTACACAATATTACTTATAGTCTATGCTGCTTTTAATCAGCTTTGAGTCTGCTTCGAGATTCATTGAAAGGCAGATTGTTAACAAACTGACAAGAAAACCCATCACAGTTAAATCACCCACCAGAGAAACTTAATTTCTTTCATGATCTGTACTTTCTACTTGCTCACAAAGATTCTTACTGCAGTCATTACACCCTAAACATTCCCAGTGTCATAGGCTATAATATTGCAAACAATAGGATTATGACCTCTTTCAGCAGGTTTCTTGCTAGATTGAAGCAGGAAGAGGAGACGGATTATATGGAGAAAAGGCCTTATTTGAAAACATTAATCTTCAGTAATTAGTAATTGCGGGAGGAAATACAATACATTAAAGTTAAGTTATCTTCTGCAAAAACCGATTTCAAAAGCTGATTGAATCTGACAGCTATCTCCTAAGATAAAACATCTACAAATGTAAAAGTAAAATATTAACAATTGTTCAGTCAGCCTCATATTAAAAAAGCAGAACCAGAAGGTTGTTTTCTTTAGAAAACAAATGTACATGCTGTGTGTATGGGTCTGTGTCTTTGTGTGTGTGTGTTTATTTTCTAGCTAAAATAAAATTAATATTTCTTCAGGTGCCAGGAGAATAGAAAAGTATCTGGACCCAGGTTATTGCTTATTTTCAGTGTTTTGGATAAACTTCCCTTTCTTATTATGAATGTTGCTCTTTTCAAAATGTATCGCCGTACATCACAAATACCCCATATTTATTCCTCTTACCTTTTATTTGTTTGTTTTATAAATGCTTCCTCTGCACTTGGGGGAAGACGTCCAATTGAACCTGTTAAAAACTGAATGCCACATGTTTTAAAGTAGCTAACAATAGTCTCATTAAAAATAGTCTCTTCAAAATGTGGAAGTATAGGTACTGAAAAAGATAAAACCACTAGCTGCTATATTTGCAATTTAAAAAAGGCAAATTCAAGATGTGTCAGATTTAACAAAGCTACTGCTGGGGGGCCAATTTCAGAGATAAAAGATAAAAGGCCAGCAATCCACTTTACCCCCAGCAGTTCAATGAAAGTTGTGTGATTCCTATTGCTTCATCAGGTAACTACAAAGTAGTTTCCTCCCAGTGAATTCTGTGTTTTTGTGGATTCTAAAATATCTGACTGTGGAATGAGAAAGGTTTGTTTGAGTATGATAAAGGATATCTAAAAACCCTTATGCTCAGTTCTGACACATAGCCATTGACAAACTAACACCCGAACTCAAACACTCATGTACCAAGCATAAGATACAGCACTTGGGAGTTTCCATCACTCACGTGAATTTGCCACTTTTTCGTCCACCCCCACCATCTGCCAATTTTTTCTTTCTCATTGCTTGTTTCAGTTTACAAACTGATTATCATAGTGATTCAATATTTTTATTTCCGTTTTGAAATTTTTTTAAGATTTTGAGCTGCATTAAGATGTACAAAACAACATAGTGCTTCTAATGATTTTTCTGGCAACCAAAGATTTATCTTTGCCGATCTCTTTAATTATTCAATTGTCAAAGCCAGGTGTGTATATGACTTGCTTACTTAACTTTTTATCTTCTAGGGAAGAGTCTGGAATCCTTACCAAGATATTCATTAAAATTGTGGACTGGAATGCACTCTTGTTTCTTTTGATAAAATGAGTTCTGTGTTCAAATAGCAGATGTAATGTCCAAAGACTGCATCATCGGAGATAGTCTAGGAGACGGATAGAAAAGTTGCAAACAGGTCTGTGAACTGCTTTGGTGGACACAGATTTACTTTGAAGATTTCACTGAATCATTTCGACTTGTAAGCCACTCATGGCACAAAAAAAGCAAGTTTACCAGGCAAACCTTAACCAGATACTAGCTACAATGGGGGAACCTCAACAAATTTAGATGTGCAGTTCAGATAATTCCCTTGAAAGTTCCGATAATTGCCTAAAGCTTATTTAAGTCTATGGAAAGACTTTACCATCTTCTTCACTCCATCTCATCTTTTCTTCTTTCTTCCATAATCCTCCCCACCCCTACTCTGATCTTTTTGTTACTCTCCAGATCACCCTACTTTAAATCTCTCTGTTTTATCCTGAATTTCCACCTCACTTTTGAAAAGACCCTTCCATGCTGGCAAATTCCTGAAGTCAGAATGTAGTAAGTTTCCTTGCCATGCTGTTTTCTTATGCATCTAGTGTTTTCAAGGGTCAAAAAAATTTTTTTTCTCGGCTCTTTGGAAAGCCAAGAAATGAAAAGGTGTGAGTCAGAGCACCTACCTTCCAAATGTTGCTATGAAAAGAAAAAATATATTGACTGAGCAATGGAAACATTCACAACTACCTGTAAATCTAATACATTTGTCTTGCCACTGTTTCAAAATGTCAAATGTGTAACTGTGAATACTGTTCAGTATTCACATTCATATAATTCACATTTGAATACAATATTCCTCACATTTAACTTTCTGAAATGTCTTACAATTGGTTGGGGGGAAGGGCACTGCCCTTTGATCTTCATGTTCAAAAACAGTCACCAAGACCTTGGAAAACAGCAGATAAGAGTCTTACCCTTCTGATAAAAGAAAACACATTTTAATCAGACTCAGTAACTCTCTCGTGAAGAATTAGCAAATCTTTGTGGACTTAAGCAAAGTTCCTGGGCTTTGAGTTCAGATAGTGCAGTCTATCAGCAAATAGCTTACTGTTAAACCTGTAAGGGCAGTTACATGTAATATTATTCATTCATTCAATCAAAAAACAGTGATTGAGTATCAACTGAACACAAATCAAACCCTCTCTCAAAAAACTTTTAATTCCACAATGGAGACAGGCATTTTCAGAACTATTATAATGCAAAATAGAAAATGGCACATATCCAAAGGCATACAAGTTGAGAGCCATGGTCATTCAGAGGAGAAAAGATCCCATCTAGTAGGAGGAAGGCTTCTCAGAAGAGCCAGCCATGAAGTGGGATTTAAAATGAATAGGTAAGATTTAAACATCTAAAAATGAGGCGGAATAATGTTGTAAAGTAAGTAACTAGATTTCATTGGAAAGCATAACACATACTAGGAATCAACTGATTTAGGTTAATTGGTACACAGAGTAATGGAGAGGAGTGAAAGATAATACTGAGTGTTAATACATTGTGATGTATCCCTGAGGCTGGGGGTGGGAGAGCCACAAAGTCAGGCTGGAGAGTTTGAATGGATTCAGCAGGCTGTATGGAACCATCAAAAGCTAATGACAGTCCGTTAATTTTTAATGAATTTTCAAGCAATGGGGTAAGAATTGTCTTTTCAACAAATGGTGCTGAGACATTTAGATGTCTATATGCAAAAAGATGAATTCATACATTTATCTCTCTCTCCATATAAAAAAATTAGTTCAAGATAGCTGAATCTGTATGTAAAGGTTAAAAATATAAAGCTTCTAGGAAAAAAAAAAAAAAGAAGAAAATTTTCATGTCCTTGGGTTAGGCAAAGAATTTTTAAATAGAACACAAAATGCGTAACAGTAAATTTTTATTAGTAAATTGGACAGAATCAAAATTTAACTTTAAAAATACCAGTAGAGAAATGAAAAGACAACACATTGACATTGAGAAAATATTTGGAAATAATAAATCCAATAAAAGACCATATCCTGAATAAATAATGTGTTCTTACAACTCAATAATAATAAGACAACCCATTTTTTAAAATGAGGAGAAAAGATTTGAGTAGAAATTTCATATAATAATGGCTAACATGAAAAAATTAAATGTAGCCTGGGCAAGATGGCTGAATAGGAACAGCTCCGGTCTGCAGCTCCCAGCAAGACCAATGCAGAAGGTGGATGATTTCTGCATTTCCAACTGAGGTACCCAGTTCATCTCACTGGGACTGATTAGACAGCAGGTGCAGCCCACAGAAGGCAAGCAGAAGCAGGGTGGGGCATCACCTCACTGGAAAGCACAAGGGGTCAGGAACTCCCTCCTCTAGCCAAGGGAAGTCGTGAGGGACCGTGATGTGAGGGACAGTGCTATTCGGCCCAGATACTATGCTTTTCACACAGTCTTCACAACCCACAGACCAGGAGATTCCCTCGGGTACCTACACCACAAGGGCCCTGAGTTTCAAGCACAAAATTGGGCTGCTGTTTAGGCAGATGCTGAGCTAGCTGCAGGAGTTTTTTTTCATACCCCAGTGTCACCTGGAACCCTAGCGAGACAGAACCATTCACTCCCCTGGAATGGGGGCTGAAGCCAGGGAACCAAGTGCTCTTGCTCAGTGGATCCCACCCCCACAGAGCCCAGCAAGCTAAGGTCCACTGGCTTGAAATTCTTGCTTCCAGCACAGCAGTCTGAAGTCGACCTGGTAGGCCCAAGCTTGGTGCAGGGAAGGGCATCCACCATTAGTGAGGTTTGGGTAGGTGGTTTTCCCCTCACAGTGTAAACAAAGCCACTGGGAAGTTCAGACTGGGTAGAGCCCATGCAGTGCCACAAGGACACTGTAGCCAGCCTGCTTCTCTAGATTCCTTCTTTCTGGGCAGGGCATCTCTGAAAGAAAGGCAGCAGCCCCAGTCAGGGTCTTATAGATAAAACTCCCATCGCACTGGGACAAAGCACCTGGGGGAAGGGGCGGCTGTGGGCCAGCTTCAGCAGACTTAAACGTTCCTCCCTGCTGGCTCTGAAGAGACCAGCAGGATCTCCCAGCACAGCGCTCAAGTTCTTCTAATGGACAGACTGCCTCCTCAAGTGGGTCCCTGACCCCGTGCCCCTGACTGGGAGACATCTCCTAGCAGGGGTCAACAGGCACCTCATACAGGAGAGCCCCAGCTGGAATCTGGCAGGTGCTCCTCTGGAACAAATCTTCCAGAGGAAGGAGCAGGCAGCAATCTTTGCTATTCTGCAGCCTCTGCTGGTGATATCCAGGCAAACAGGATCTGGAGTGGACCCCCAGCAAACTCCAGCAGACCTGCAGAAGAGGGGTCTGACTGTCAGAAGGAAAACTAATAAACAGAAAGCAGTAGCATCAACATCAACAAAAAGGATGACCATGCAAAAACTCCATCCAAAGGTCACAAACAACAAAGACCAAAGATAGAAAAATCCACGAAGATGAGGAAAAACCAGTGCAAAAAGGCTGGAAAGTTGCAAAAACTAGAATGCCCCTTCTCCAAAGGATCACAACTCCTCTCCAGCAAGGGAACAAAACAAGACAGAGAATGAGTTTGACGAGTTGACAGAAATAGGCTGCAGAAGGTGGGTAATAACAAACTCCTCTGAGCTAAAGGAGCATGTTGTAACCCAATGCAAGGAAGCTAAGAATCTTGAAAAAATGTTACAGGAATTGCTAACTAGAATAACCAGTTTAGAGAAGAACATAAATGACCTAATGGAGCTGAAAAACACAGCACAAGAACTTCGTGAAGCATATACAATTATCAATAGCCAAACTGACCAGGCAGAAGAAAGGATATCAGAGATTGAAGATCAACTTAATGAAATAAAGGGTGAAGACAACATTAGAGAAAAAACAGTGAAAAGGAATGAATAAAGTCTCCAAGAAATATGGGACTATGTGAAAAGACCAAGCCTGCATTTGATTGGTATACCTGAAAGTGAAGGGGAGAATGGAACCAAGTTGGAAAACACTCCTCAGGATATTATCCGGGAGAACTTCCCCAACGTAGCAAGACAGGCCAACATTCAAATTCAGGAAATACAGAGAACACCACAAAGATACTCCTCAAGAAGAGCAACCCCAAGACACATAATCATCAGATTCACCAAGGTTGAAATGAAGGAAAATATTTTAAGTGCAGCCGGAGAGAAAGGTCGGGTTACCCACAAAGGGAAGCCCATCAGACTAACAGCAGATCTATCTGTAGAAACCCTACAAGCCAGAAGAGAGTGGGGAACAATACTCAACGTTCTTAAAGAAAAGAATTTTAAACCCAGAATTTCATATCCAGCCAAACTTCATAAGTGAAGGAGAAAGAAAATCCTTTACAGACAAGCAAATGCTGAAAGATTTTGTCACCACTAGGCCTGCCTTACGAGAACTCCTGAAGGAAGCACTAAACATGGAAAGGAACAACCAGTACCAGCCACTGCAAAAACATACCAAATTGTAAAGACCATCAACACTATGAAGAAACTGCATCAACTAATGAGCAAAATACCTAGCTAGCATCATAATGACAGGATCAAATCCACATATAACAATATTAACCTTAAATGTAAACAAGCTAAATGTCCCAATTAAAAGGCATAGACTGGAAAATTGGATAAAGAGTCAAGACCCATCAGTGTGCTATATTCAGGAGACACATCTCACATGTAAAGACGCACATAGGCTCAAAATAAAGGAATGGAGGAAGACTTACCAAGCAAATGGAAAGCCAAAAAAAAAAAAAAAAGCAGGTGTTGCAATCCTAGTCTCTGATAAAACAGACTTTAAATCAACAAAGATTAAGAAAAAAGGGCATTACATAATGGTAAAGGGATCAATTCAACAAGAAGAGCTAACTATCCTAAATATATATGCACCCAATACAGGAGCACCCAGATTCATAAAGCAAGTTCTTAGAGACCTACAAAGATACTTAGACTCCTACACAATAACAATAGGAGACTTTAACAACCCATTGTCAGCATTAGACAGATCAACGAGACAGAAAATTAACAAGGATATTCAGGACTTGAACTCAGCTCTGGACCAAGTGGACCTAATAGACATCTACAGAACTCTCCACCCCAAATCAACGGAATATACATTCTTCTCAGCACCACATAGCACTTATTCTAAAATCAATCACATAATTGGAAGTAAAACGCTCCTCAGCAAATGCAAAAGAATGGAAATTATAACAGTCTTTCAGACCACAGTGCAATCAAATTTGAACTCAGCACTAAGAAACTCACTCAAAACCACACAACTACATGAAAACTGAACAACCTGCTCCTGAATGACTACTTGGTAAATAATGAAAAGAAGTCAGAAATAAAGATGTTCTTTGAAACCAATAAGAACAAAGACACAACGTACCAGAATCTCTGAGACACAACTGACACAGTGTTTAGAGGGAAATTTATAGCACTAAATGCCCACAGGAGAAAGTGGGAAAGATGTAAAATTGACACCCTAACATCACAATTAAAAGAACTAGAGAAGCAAGAGCAAACAAATTCAAAAGCTAGCAAAAGACAAGAAATAACTAAGATCAGAGCAGAACTGAAGGAGATAGAGACACAAAAACCCTTCAAAAAATCAATCCATCCAGGAGCTGGTTTTTTTGAAAAGATTAACAAAATAGATAGACTGCTAGCCAGGTTAACAAAGAAGAATAGAGAAAAGAATCAAATAGACATAATAAAAAATGATAAAAGGGAGATCACCACTGATCACTCAGAAATACAAACTACCATCAGAGAATACATAAACATCTCTATGCAAATAAATTAGAAAATCTAGAAGAAATGGGTAAATTCCTGGACACATACACCCTCCCAAGACTAAACCAGGAAGAAGTTGAATCCCTGAATAGACCAATAACAAGTTCTGAAACTGAGGCAGTAATTAATATCCTACTAACCAAAAAAAAAAGCCCAAGACCAGATGGATTCACAGCTGAATTCTACCAGAGGTACAAAGAGGAGCTGGTACCATTCCTTCTGAAACTATTCCAACAATAGAAAAAGAGGGATTCCTCCTTAACTCATTTTATGAGGCCAGCATCATTCTGATACCAAAACCTGGCAGAGACACAACAAAAAAGGAAAATTTCAGGCCAACATCCCTGATGAACATCAATGCAAAATCCTCAATACAATACTGGAAAACTGAATTCAGCAGCACATCAAAAAGCTTATCCACCACGATCAAGTCGGCTTCATCCCTGGGATGCAAGTCTGGTTCAACATATGCAAATCAATAAACATAATCCATCACATAAATAGAACCAATGACAAAAACCACATGATTATCTCAATAGATGCAGAAAAGGCTTTCAATAAAATTCAACACCCTTTCATGCTAAAAACTCTATAAACTAAGTATTGACAGATCATGTCTCTAAATAATAAGAGCTATTTATGACAAACCCACAGCCAATATCATACTGAATGGGCAAAAATTGGAAGCATTCACTTTGAAAACTGGCACAAGACAAGGATGCCCTCTCTCACCATGCCTGTTCAACATAGTATTGGAAGTTCTGGCCAGGACAATCAGGCTAGAGAAAGAAATAAAGGGTATTCAGATAGGAAGAGAGGAAGTCAAATTGTCTCTGTTTGCAGAAGACATGATTGTATATTTAGAAAACCCTATTGTCTCAGCCCAAAATCTCCTTAAACTGATAAGCAACTTCAGCAAAGTCTCAGGATACAAAATCAATGTGCAAAAATCACAAGCATTTCTATACACCAATAATAGACAAACAGAGAGCCAAATCATTAGCAAACTCCCATTCACAATTGCTACAAAAAGAATAAAATACTTAGGAATCCAACTTACAAGGGATGTGAAGGACCTCTTCAAGGAGAACTACAAACCACTGCTCAAGGAAATAAGAGATGACACAAACAAATGGAAAAACATTCCATGCTCATGGATAGGAAGAATCAATATTGTGAAAATGGCCATATTCCTCAAAGTAATTTATAGATTCAATGCTACTCCCATCAAGTTATCATTGACTTTCTTCAAAGAATTAGAAAAAAACTACTTTAAATTTCATATGGAACCAAAAAAAGAGCCTGTATAGCAAGACAATCCTAAGAAAAAAGAACAAAGCTGGAGGCAACATGCTACCTGACTTCAAACTATACTACAAGGCCGCAGTAACCAAAACAGCATGGTACTGGTACCAAAACAGATATATAGACCAATGGAACAGAACAGAAGCCTCAGAAATAACACCACACACCTACAACCATCTGATCTTTGAGAAACCTAACATAAACAAGCAATGGGGAAAGGATTCCCTATTTAATAAATGGTGTTGGGAAAACTGGCTAGCCGTATGCAGAAAACTGAAACTGGACCCTGTCCTTACACCTGAGAATAAGAGTGGTCAAAGATAGATCTATAGTTTAAAACTAGAGAATTTGGAATAATCTATTCCTTGGGGAGGGAGGAAGAAAAAAAAATATGTACTCAATGTTATTAGTGCTTTATAACCACCTTTGCTCTATGAAAGAGTTGCTGGCTTAATAATAACTCAGTGCAGCCAGGCACAGCAGCTCATGCCTGTAATCCCAGCACCTTGGGAGACAGGAGTGGGCAGATCACTTGAGTTCAGGAGTTCAAGACCAGCCTGGCCAACATGGTGAAACCCATGTTTACTAAAAATAGAAAAATTAGCTGGGCATGGTGGCATGCACCTGTAATCCTAGCTACTCGGGAGGTTGAGGCATGAGAATCACTTTAACCAGGGAGGTGGATGTTGCAGTGAGTGGAGATCACACCGCTGCACTCCAGCCTAGGAGGCAAAGTGAAACTGTGTCTTAAAAAATATATATATATTTCAATTTACATTTCCAGGCCTTGTATTTGTGGCTAGAGAATTTAATACAAGGAAGTCTCTGTGTCACTGATCTAGTGTTCAATAGTAAAACTGAAAAGATATTGAAGCAAAAAGATAGGAGGGATGTGCTTCTGAAAAGTGTTTTGTTCAGGATATCAACCAAGGCAAACAGTATCAATTTTAGCTATATTTTTCTGTTTTGTTTTACAGGATAAAAAGGAAAAACTAACACACAATAAAAAGATAAACTAATGTGGGGGATGGGGGCTAATTAACAGACACTACAATTTAAACTTATGAGAACCAATGCTAAAACAGAATAACTCTGCTGCTATTTAAACCTATTATAGGTAGAAGTAAAAGAAGACAGAACAAAAGAATTACCAAAATTTTAGCAATATAATTATAAGGTAGATAGAAATTGAGAAAGACTAAAAACACAGATGAATAACTCAGGCTTGTCCAAAATCAATAAATTTTAGACATGCAGGATCCTATGGATCTTCACAGATATGGCATCTGACATAGCTTCCCAGCTCCTTCCAACATAACACAGGTAAAGAAATGCTGCAAAAAATAGGATTATGTCATTGATTTTTTTTTCTATTATGGGGATACACTAGTCTTACTAGGATCAGCTAATTTCTTAACAATGCCTTATTCCTAGATGGAATCACTTTGCTCCAGTCAATAAATTTAGACAAAAGCAGTGCAGTGGCTTCTTCAGAGTTTGAAAGTAAGCAAGACTGTTTTTATTTTCCTGCTATTTCCCAGGTGCATTTGGGAAATGCTTTTCCTTAGCGTGCCTTGGACATTGCCTCTTCTTTGTTCTATTTGCTGTCATTACAAAGGAGATCACAATCATCATTTTGGCCTTCAAGTTAAATCACATCTGTTGAGTCAGGGGTTTGGGGCTTAGCATCCATGTGGAAAGAAATGCTCAGGTCACAGTTCTTTCCCTGACATGCAGTCTTTCTAGGTCACCTTCATTTCTTCTCCCATCACCATTGCCCCTCCTGCTGGCCAAACCCTCACCCATTTGTTGATTCGAACTTTTTATCCACTTGCCCTCTGCACACTTCCCAGTCTAGTTGAATTGGCTTCACTCATTTTTTCAGCACTTACTGAGAGCCTGGCATGTGCCAGGTGCTGTTTAAAGAAAAGGTATCATTAGAAATGAGTAGGGCTTACAATTTCATCATTGAGAATTCAGCTTTGCAATTGAGTAACAAAACCCACTAATATTTGAAGGGTATACTTTCTCTTTAGGGGGTCATTCTAAACAAAATTTGGCTCAGTTAATGAAAACAGTGCAGATCAAAATACAAAAACTCAGCCAAGTGCAGTGGTGCATGCCTGTAATCCTAGCTACTTGGGAGGCTGAGGCAGAAGGATCGCTTGAACCCAGGAACTTGAGGCTGCTGGGTGCTCTGATGGCACCACTGCACTCCAGTCTGGGTGACAGACTGAGACCTCATCTATAAAAAGAAAAAATAGAAAACAAAACAATATATAAAATCTCAAAATACGGCCAGGCGCGGTGGCTCACACCTGTAATCCCAGCACTTTGGGAGGCTGAGGAAGACGGATCACCTGAGGTCAGGAGTTCGAGACCAGCCTGGCCAACATGGTGATACCTAGTCTCTACTAAAATTACAAAAAAAATTAGCTGGGCACGGTGGTGGGGACCTGTAATCCCAGCTGCTACTTGGGAGACTGAGGACAGAGAATCGTTGGAACTTGGGAGGCAGAGGTTTCAGTGAGCTGAGATCATGCCATTACACTCCAGCCTGGGCAACAAAAGCAAAACTCTGTCTCAAAAACAAAACAAAACAAAAACCTCAAAATACTACTAGCATAAAACCAAGATCTGTGAAGAATAAACACACATTCAGAGCTGAGGACAAGCTTCTAAGGGGTAGGGAATACTTTGAGAACATAAACATTTGCTGTTGTTCTGGTCAAGCCTAAATTGTAACACATTTCTATATTACTGTCTCCTAAATTGGATTTTCACATTCTCTATAATTTTAGTGAGCTTTTACTGACATCTTGGTATAAAACCCCACAAGTTGGTCGGCCATTTAAATGTACATGTTTTCCAAAGGACACACACACACACACACACAAACACACCCACACATATCCATTGAATTAATCTGAAGAACTTGATTAGAAAAAAAAACAGAAAGGAAACAAAAAGCCCACTTTTTTACTATTTTTTTTCTTCACAATCCTATAAGCTAGGTTCTGAAGTCATATACACTTGTGCTGGGGTTTTGGTTCTACCACTTTTGGAAAATTTATTCTCAGAACCTCTGTTTTCTTTTTTGTAAATCAGGAGTGGTAACACCTATCCTGCTGAACTGTGGTAAAGACTGTAGATAATTGAAATATTGTCTCAGGAAACACTTAGTAAATATCAGCTGTTGTTATAGTTCTCTTTTGGACTAAAAAACTAAATTATATGTGACATATATTCCTTAATTAGTAAAATTTAGGTCATGTGATTTCCAAAACCAAGGACTAAATTTTTCACCAATATCAGGAATCAATTGGATTGATTTCTCCCTTGTTCTATCTATATTTTTCTGTACTCTCTACAATTTCTCTGGCAGAAAAACAAAAAGTAGTTTTATTTGAAGTAGCAATATCAGCACTGATTTCACCTCCAGACAAGATTCTTACTCCGAGGGGAAGAAATATGGATTACAGGTACAGAAGTACAGAACTCCTTCAGAAAAAAAATGTGTTTATAATAGTTTTCCTCTTTTTCTTTTCTTTCTTTCTTTCTTTCTTTCTTTTTTTTTTTTTTTTTTTTGAGACAGAGTTTCACTCTTGTCACCCAGGCTGGAGTGCAATGCCATGATCTCGGCTCACTGCAATCTCTGCCTCCCCAGTTCAAGACAGTCTCCTGCCTCAGCCTCCGCAGTAGCTGGGATTACAGGCACTTGCCACCATACCCGGCTGATTTTTGTATTTTTAGTAGAGATGGAGTTTTGCCATGTTGGCCAGGCTGGTCTTGAACTCCTGACCTCAGATGATCTGCCCACCTCAGCCTCCCAAAGTGTTGGGATTAGAGGCGTGAGACACTGCACCTGGCCAATTCAGTGTTTTAATCTCATAAATGTATATGGTAGAGCTCCAGCCATAGTGGTACAAAGAAAAAAACATGAGCTTTGATGTCCCACAGGGTTAGTTAGGTTTGACTCCTGGCTGTGCTACTGATTGTCTAACCTTGGGCAAGATATAGGAATCTCTGATTCTCAATTTTCTTACCTGTAAAATGGAGATAATAACATCTACCTTCTAGAGATGTTGATAATAGTGAATACACACGATCATTTTATAACATTCTGAACACAAGGCCCGGCACTTAATCAAGTATACTCAATAAATATTATTTATTCTTTGGTTTTTGCTATTTCCTGTCTCCTTAAATAATAATCGACAACGTTCTAAAACAATCCCAATTGTAGTCTAAATTGTCCTTATAAATGAACATGCATATTTGAAATTTCTTATGACCCCATCTTTGATTCTTAAACCAGTCTTATAATCTGATACGGTAGAGTTTATTTCACTTTTAAAAATAACTTCCAGGAGGAGGAGCCAAGATGGCCAAATAGGAACAGCTCCAGTCTACAGCTCCCAGCGTGAGCGATGCAGAAGACGGGTGATTTCTGCATTTCCATCAAAGGTACCAGCTTCGCCTCATTAGGGAGTGCCAGACAGTGGGCGCAGGACAGTGGGTGCAGCACACTGTGCGTGAGCTGAAGCAGGGCGAGGCATTGCCTCACTCGGGAAGCACAAGGGGTCAGGGAGTTCCCTTTCCTAGTCAAAGAAAGGGGTGACAGACAGCACCTGGAAAATCGGGTCACTCCCACCCGAATACTGCACTTTTCCGAAGGGCTTAAAAAACGGCACACCAGGGGATTATATCCCACACCCGGCTCGGAGGGTCCTAGGCCCACGGAATCTCCCTGATTGTTAACACAGCAGTCTGAGATCAAACTGCAAGGCAGCAGCGAGGCTGGGGGAGGGGCACCCGCCATTGCCCAGGCTTGCTTAGGTAAACAAAGCAGCCGGGAAGCTGGAACTGGGTGGAGCCCACCACAGCTCAAAGAGGCCTGCCTGCCTCTGTACTCTCCACCTCTGGGGGCAGGGCACAGACAAACAAAAAGACAGCAGTAACCTCTGCAGACTTAAATGTCCCTGTCTGACAGCTTTGAAGATAACAGTGGTTCTCCCAGCACGCAGCTGATCTGAGAACGAGCAGACTGCCTCCTCAAGTGGGTCCCTGACCCCTGACCCCAGGGCAGCCTAACTGGGAGGTACCTCCCAGTAGGGGAAGACTGACACCTCACATGGCTGGGTACTCCTCTGAGACAAAACTTCCAGAGGAACGATCACACAGCAGCATTCACGGTTCATGAAAATCTGCTGTTCTGCAGCCACCGCTGCTGATACCCAGGCAAACAGGGTCTGGAGTGGACCTCTAGCAAATTCCAACAGACTTGCAGCTGAGGGTCCTGTCTGTTAGAAGGAAAACTAACAAACAGAAAGGACATCCACGTCAAAAACCCATCTGTACATCACCATCATCAAAGACCAAAAGTAGATAAAACCACAAAGATGGGGAAAAAACAGAGCAGAAAAACTGGAAACTCTAAAAAGCAGAGTGCCTCTCCTCCTCCAAAGGACTGCAGCTCCTCACCAGCAATGGAACAAAGCTGGACAGAGAATGACTTTGATGAGTTGAGAGAAGAAGGCTTCAGACAAACTTCTCCGAGCTACAGGAGGAAATTCAAACCAAAGGCAAAGAAGTTGAAAACTTTGAAAAAAATTTAGACGAATGCATAACTAGAATAACCAATACAGAGAAGTGCTTAAAGGAGCTGATGGAGCTGAAAGACAAGGCTCGAGAACTACGTGAAGAATGCAGAAGCCTCAGGAGCAGATGCGATCAGCTGGAAGAAAAGGTATCAGTGATGGAAGATGAAATTAATGAAATGAAGTGAGAAGGGAAGTTTAGAGAAAAAAGAATAAAAAGAAACGAACAAAGCCTCCAAGAAATATGGGACTATGTGAAAAGACCTAATCTACGTCTGATTGGTGTACCTGAAAGTGACGGGGAGAATGGAACCAAGTTGGAAAACACTCTGCAGGATATTATCCAGGAGAACTTCCCCAATCTAGCAAGGCAGGCCAACGTTTAGATTCAGGAAATACAGAGAACGCCACAAAGATACTCCTTGAGCAACTCCAAGACACATAATTGTCAGATTCACCAAAGTTGAAATGAAGGAAAAAATGTTAAGGGCAGCCAGAGAGAAAGGTCGGGTTACCCACAAAGGGAAGCCCATCAGACTAACAGCAGATCTCTCGGAAGAAACTCTACAAGCCAGAAGAAAGTGGGGGCCAATATTCAACATTCTTAAAGAAAAGAATTTTCAACCCAGAATTTCATATCCAGCCAAACTAAGCTTCATAAGTGAAGGAGAAATAAAATCCTTTACAGACAAGCAAATGCTGAGAGATTTTGTCACCACCAGGTCTGCCCTAAAAGAGCTCCTGAAGGAAGCACTGAACATGGAAAGGAACGACCGGTACCAGCCGCTGCAAAATCATGCCAAAATGTAAAGACCCTCGAGACTAGGAAGAAACTGCATCAACTAACGAGCAAAATAACCAGCAAACATCATAATGACAGGATCAAATTCACACATAACAATATTAACTTTAAATGTAAATGGACTAAATGCTCCAATTAAAAGACACAGACTGGCAAATTGGATAAAGAGTCAAGACCCATCAGTGTGCTGTACTCAGGAAACCCATCTCACGTGCAGAGACACACATAAGCTCAAAATAAAAGGATGGAGGAAGATCTACCAAGGAAATGGAAAACAAAAAAAGGCAGGGGTTGCAATCCTAGTGTCCGATGAAACAGACTTTAAACCAACAAAGATCAAAAGAGACAAAGAAGGCCATTACATAATGGTAAAGGGATCAATTCAACAAGAAGAGCTAACTATCCTAAATATATATGCACCCAATACAGGAGGACCCAGATTCATAAAGCAAGTCCTGAGTGACCTACAAAGAGACTTAGACTACCACACAATAATAATGGGAGACTTTAACACCCCACTGTCAACATTAGACAGATCAGCGAGACAGAAAGTTAACAAGGATACCCAGGAATTGAACTCAGCTCTTCACCAAGCGGACCTAATAGACATCTATAGAAATCTCCACCCAAAATCAACAGAATATACATTTTTTTCAGCACCACACACACCTATTCCAAAGTTGACCACATACTTGGAAGTAAAGCTCTCCTCAGCAAATGAAAAAGAACAGAAATTATGACAAACTGTCTCTCAGACCATAGCGCAATCAAACTAGAACTCAGGATTAAGAAACTCACTCAAAACTGCTCAACTACATGGAAACTGAACAACCTGCTCCTGAGTGACTACTGGGTAGATAACGAAATGAAGGCAGAAATAAAGATGTTCTTTGAAACCAATGAGAAAAAAGACACAACATACCAGAATCTCTGGGACACATTCAAAGCAATGTGTAGAGGGAAATTTATAGCACTAAATGCCCACAAGAGAAAGCAGGAAAGATCCAAAATTGACACCCTAACATCACAATTAAAAGAACTAGAAAAGCAAGAGCAAACACATTCAAAAGCTAGCAGAAGGCAAGAAATAACTAAAATCAGAGCAGAACTGAAGGAAATAGAGACACAAAAAACCCTTCAAAAAATTAATGAATCCAAGAGCTGGTTTTTCGAAAGGATCAACAAAATTGATAGACCACTAGCAAGACTAATAAAGAAAAAAAGAAGAATCAAATAGATGCAATAAAAAATGATAAAGGGGATATCACAACTGATCCCACAAAAATACAAACTGCCATCAGAGAATACTACAAACACCTCTACGCAAATAAACTAGAAAATCTAGAAGAAATTGATAAATTCCTTGACACATACACTCTCCCAAGACTAAATCAGGAAGAAGTTGAATCTCTGAATAGACCAATAACAGGCTCTGAAATTGTGGCAGTAATCAACAGCTCACCAACCAAAAAGAGTCCAGGACCAGATGGATTCACAGCCAAATTCTACCAGAGGTACAAGGAGGAACTGGTACCATTCCTTCTGAAACTATTCCAATCAACAGAAAAAGAGGGAATCCTCCCTAACTCATTTGATGAGGCCAGCATCATCCTGATACCAAAGCCGGGCAGAGACACAACCAAAAAAGAGAATTTTAGACCAATATCCTTGATGAACATTGATGCAAAAATCCTCAATAAAATACTGGCAAACTGAATCCAGAAGCACATCAAAAAGCTTATCCACCATGATCAAGTGGGCTTCATCCCTGGGATGCAAGGCTGGTTCAATATATGCAAATCAATAAATGTAATCCAGCATATAAACAGAGCCAAAGACAAAAACCACATGATTATCTCAATAGATGTAGAAAAGGCCTTTGACAAAATTCAACAACCCTTCATGCTAAAAACTCTCAATAAATTAGGTATTGATGGGACATATCTCAAAATAATAAGAACTATCTATGACAAACTCACAGCCAATATCATACTGAATGGGCAAAAACTGGAAGCATTCCCTTTGAAAACTGGCACAAGACAGGGATGCCCTCTCTCATCACTCCCATTCAACATAGTGTTGGAAGTTCTGGCCAGGGCAATTAGGCAGGAGAAGGAAATAAAGGGTATTCAATTAGGAAAAGAGGAAGTCAAATTGTCCCTGTTTGTAGACGACATGATTGTATATCTAGAAAACCCCATTGTCTCAGCCCAAAATCTCCTTAAGCTGATAAGCAATTTCAGCAAAGTCTCAGGACACAAAATCAATGTACAAAACTCACAAGCATTCTTATACACCAATAACAGACAAACAGAGAGCCAAATCATGAGTGAACTCCCATTCACAATTGCTTCAAAGAGAATAAAATACCTAGGAATCCAACTTACAAGGGATGTGAAGGACCTCTTCAAGGAGAACTACAAACCACTGCTCAATGAAATAAAAGAGGATATAAACAACTGGAAGAACATTCCATGCTCATGGGTAGGAAGAATCAATATCGTGAAAATGGACATACTGCCCAAGGTAATTTATAGACCCAATGCCATCCCCATCAAGCTACCAAGGACTTTCTTCACAGAATTGGAAAAAACTACTTTAAACTTCATATGGAACCAAAAAAGAGCCTGCATTGCCAAGTCAATCCTAAGCCAAAAGAACAAAGCTGGAGGCATCATGCTACCTGACTTCAAACTATACTACAAGGCTACAGTAACCAAAACAGCATGGTACTGGTACCAAAACAGAGATATAGATCAATGGAACAGAACAGAGCCCTCAGAAGTAACGCTGCATATCTACAACTATCTGATCTTTGACAAACCTGAGAAAAACAAGCAATGGGGAAAGGACTCCCTATTTAATAAATGGTGCTGGGAAAACTGGCTAGCCATATGTAGAAAGCTGAAACTGGATCCCTTCCTTACACCTTATACAAAAATTAATTCAAAATGGATTAAAGACTTAAACGTTACACCTAAAACCATAAAAACCCTAGAAGAAACCTAGGTGTTACCATTCAGGACATAGGCATGGGCAAGGACTTCATGTCTAAAACAGCAAAAGCAATGGCAACAAAAGCCAAAATTGACAAATGGGATCTAATTAAACTAAAGAGCTTCTGCACAGCAAAAGAAACTACCATCAGAGTGAACAGGCAACCTACAAAATGGGAGAAAATTTTCGCAACCTACTCATCTGACAAAGGGCTAATATCCAGAATCTACAATGAACTCAAACAAATTTACAAGAAAAAAACAGACAATCCCATCAAAAAGTGGGCCAAGGACATGAACAGACATTTCTCAAAAGAAGACATTTATGCAGCCAAAAAACACATGAAAAAATGCTCACCATCATTGGCCATCAGAGAAATGCAAATCAAAACCACAATGAGATACCATCTCACACCAGTTAGAATGGAGATCATTAAAAAGTCAGGAAACAACAGGTGCTGGAGAGGATGTGGAGAAATAGGAACACTTTTACACTGTTGGTGGGACTGTAAACTAGTTCAACCATTGTGGAAGTCAGTGTGGCGATTCCTCACAGATCTAGAACTAGAAATACCATTTGACCCAGCCATCCCATTACTGGGTATATACCCAAAGGACTATAAATCATGCTGCTATAAAGACACATGCACACGTATGTTTATTGCGGCACTATTCACAATAGCAAAGACTTGGAACCAATCCGAATGTCCAACAATGATAGACTGGATTAAGAAAATGTGGCACATAGACACCATGGAATACTATGCAGCCATAAAAAATGATGAGTTCATGTCCTTTGTAGGGACATGGATGAAACTGGAAATCATCATTCTTAGTAAACTATCGCAAGGACAAAAAACCAAACACCGCATGTTCTCACTCATAGGTGGGAATTGAACAATGAGAACACATGGACACAGGAAGGGGAACATCACACTCTGGGGACTGTTGTGGGGAGGGGGCCGGGGGGAGGGATGGCATTAGGAGATATACCTAATGCTAAATGACAAGTTAATGGGTGCAGCACACCAGCATGTCACATGTATACATATGTAACTAACCTGCACATTGTGCACATGTACCCTAAAACTTAAAGTATAATAATAATAAAAAAAATAACTTCCACATTACTCCATTTTGATGTCTTTTAGATTACAAAAGGAAATGATGCTTGGTGTGGTGTATTAAATAATTCATGCAGAGATGCATAAACACAACACTAATCTTTGACAAACTCCCCTATGTATTCTCCTCTCCTTCCTTATATACACATAAACTAGCATTCGTGTCATAGAAGGAGGTTTTATTTATTTATTTTTCTGGAAAGAGAATAATAGTTGAAAACATATCATTCTACATCTTGCTCTTTTAAGCTTACTATATTACGGCCTTTTGCTTTTTTACAATTCTTATTTAACATATTTTAAGGTAACTGTTTAGTATATTTTCATGTCTTTCTCCACTTTTCTTTCAGCATTGCCTCTTACTCTTACCTCCTGCTCATGTTTTGCCTATGTGTGTGAATTTTTTCTAGATATCCTTCTGAAGAAGAAAGCTTTGGCTGATCTACTCTTGGGGAATGTGGTTGGTGGCAGGGCACAAGACAAAAAAAAATACCTTTTATAATAATCCAATAGAGTTAGAACACTGGGCTAATTTTTCTACAATAACTCTTTACCACATACTATCATTTCCTTTCTTGCCCACTTCCTTTCTTCATGTATAAATTTTTTGTGGTCAGGGATAACTTCTAATTATTCGGCCTCTCATTCTTAGTGCTATACAGTAGATGCATAGAAACCTTTAGAAAAAGCAATTTAGGGTAATGGTTAAGAGCCTTACCTTTTGAGGACAGAGAGATTTGGGTTCAAATTCTCCTTATTTACCTAGTACTAACAAGTGATCTTAGGCAAATCACAAAACCTCTCTAAGACTTATTTATTACACATATTAAAAATGGAAATAGTATCAAACTCTGGTAATGACTGTACAGATTAATAGAAAATTAAAGCCTATCATTGGGTTCAATAAATAGTCAAATTGATAAATAAGGATGAAAAGGAAAAAAAGGGAAGAATTTTAGATAGGAAATCTAAGGAAGTGAGGAGACCTTTGGGAATTTTCTAAACCATTTTCAAGGCTTTGCCATTCTTAAACCACTGCCATTTCTAGGGGGCCCAGTTAATTCCTTTCTTGTCTTGGGAAGTCTCTAGACCTGCCTTTTCAGACATCTTAAATTCTTCACTGCTTTCTTTCAAAAACGTCTTTATCTTAAGTCCAATCCCCACCTCTAAATTTAAGGGAACAATAAATGTGTACTAACAGAAAGTAGAGAAAAAAATCCCCCTTTAATGTCTTGCTAAGACAGTGGTCATTTCCCCATAGTCCAAACCCAGAGCTTTGCTGCAGGGGGTCTAAAAGATCACTGGAGCTAGGAAATATTCCAGGTCAGCTCAGTTCTGTTAGGAAAACTTGGGTGGAAATTGGAGTTAGTACAATGAGTTCTATCCCACTACAAACCGAAGAAAGAAGTTAGCAAGGTACAGATAAAAGATGAGTTGTTATTAATGGGAGGCAGTTTTAGGCGGAACGAGATGCAGGTAACTAAAATTATCTGTGTTCAGTTCCCTCAGTTGAAAAATGGGGATAATGCTTATTACCTGAACAGTTGTTGCAGGTAAGTAATGTTATTTATATAAAGTGACTGGTGTATAGTAGGCAACCAGTAAACATAAGCAACATTAATATTATGCATTTTTAATTCTAATACATGCATTTTAAAAATATATAACAGCCTCCCTGGGAAATGAATAAGATGACATATGGGAGGCCAAATGTACATATCTATTCCTGCTTCCTGGGAACAGCAGAGTGATTTTTAAACAGTTGTTTTTAACTTTGTTTAGAAAGGAAAATTTCTAAGAAAATGCCTTAATGGAAATCCCAACAACAAAAGATAATTCTAGCAGTGAGGTGGCAATCAGGGAGAGAGGAATCAAGAGGTTTAAAATAAACAAAAGAAAACATTAAGAGAAGGCCTAATCAGCATATGGTATTTGGCAAAAGAGACCAAAGAAGAGATAGAGTTAAGAGACTGTTGGGCAAGAAGTAAAAGGATTTGGTGACAGCCTGGATAAGAAGGAAGAAAGGGATGCTGTGTGTTTAAAAGATATGAGCGATAACAACGTCCACAGGCATGACAGAGCAACTGAGCAAGTGATGCCTTTTTTAGAATGAAAATAAGTTTGTTCTTCATCAGGCTAACTTTGTATTTATTTAATGCATCTTGACACTGTTTAAAGGAACAGAACACAAATGTTAGGGGATGTTGGGGAAAGGAGAAAAATTTATTATTTGCATGTCATTGGGGGGAAAAATTACAGTTAGCAAAGTATTAAAATTTGGTTCATGCATAGTAGTTATAAAAAGTTTTACTTGAATAATGAATTAATTAGTCTAATTTCCACACCATACTAACTCTGTTTTTTAATAGCTATTACTTCCTTTAGCTCTTTAGTTATTGTTAAGACTGTCTTGGAGAAGCCAAGGATGTGAAAGGAGTTTGTGGCAAATGAAGGCAATGATTGACTTCCAGAATTCCATGCTTAGTGTTTAATCTGCATTACTTTATATTTTAAAATTCAATATAATCTCAACTCGACTAAAGATTAACTCAATTAACAACAGTAAAAAAAAGTAAATGAAATTTCAGTATAAATTTATTTGCTTTAAATAGTCACAAAAACCTTAAAACTTTTTTTGATTCATTTCTACAAAATAATAATGATTTATAGATGGTAAAGATACAATAAGATAAACTTAACTGCATCTTTTTCCTATCTAAATAGCAAAATTATTCCAAAGGTAAAAGCATTGTATCTAACTAGAAAGAAGCAGAGGATCTAATGCTAGATCTTTAGCACATGCCATATTTATGCACCCTCCAATCTTCATAAAAGGTAACATAAAAATCAGTTAAATCTCACTATTACCACTCTACAAACACTAAAAATTTCGTCAACTGTTTTGTTTATGAAATTGCAAGTGTTTAATTTTTACCTCCCCCTCACCTCACATTTAATTATTAATTGTTCTGAATTTTATTGACCTGCTAGCAGACACTCGGAGCCTTGGTATGCAATTCTAAAGGACATAGTACTATACTTATTGATTGGCAAGTTATTTGACTTATCTTTATTTGTGTTTTCCCATCTCGATTAGACCTGTTCTTACATCTCTACTGATCTGCTTTAGTGGCGGCGGGGGGGAAGAATGAGATAAAATGTATAAACCTTGAAGAACTGCTTGAAAGTTCAGAGTGATGACAGTATTCTTTGCCTTGATGGGATACAAATATTATCTTAATCCACTAAAAGCTATCACTGGGAAATAAATTCTAGCGTATTGTTGCTAGTCTTCTATGTTAAGTCAAAGTAAAAAAGAAGGCATACTAGGAGATCAGCAGGACAAGGATCAAAATTCAGAAATGTAGGACATGAAATACATTATCTAACCTGTTTGTAAATGTTATCAAGAGTATCCCAAAGATTCGAAACAAAATAGTTTAACAACTTATTCAAGCATAAGGCAGTGTATATTTGGAAAATAAATTGAATAGAAAGAAGCAAGAACTAGTGTTACAGCCCTTACCTATAAAAGCCCAAGATAAACTTTGGTCTTACTTGGAATTTGCTGTTCTTTTTATGTTTTGATCAAACTAACTCCCTTATCTCTACTGCCTCATTTTTCTTTGTGTGATCTGCTGCTAGAATACCTTTTCAGCTTTCTCCTGCAGTGAAAACCCAATTATCAAGGGATTCATTGGCCTGTTTCCCATATTCTGTGGGTAATTTCATTCATTTTCCTTAGGAGACAAATGCAGAGATAGGAGTGAAAAGTGTGGAGAAGATACCCATACTTGACTTAGGGAAAGTGCCACTGAAAAAATTCAAGACAGTTCCTATGCTATATTTGGTAGAAAGTGAAATTTACCTCCCTATCGCTCTACTCCATTTGAAAGATGTTTTACCCCAGCTATCATGAAGTGTAAGAGAGAAAGAGAGAGAGGGAGAGAGAGAGAGAGAGAGTGTGTGTGTGTGTGTGTGTGTGTGTGTGTGTGTGTGCACGTGCAGACCAAGATTCTGAGACTTGGACATATTCTGCATAATGTCTCTATAATGTCTCTGGCATTGGAAATGAATCACTACCCTCATTCTTTTCCTGAAGAAGTCAAGCTGCTCTTCCCAGAAAAACATTCCTACTGATGTGATCTTTATTTTGAAAAACCTCTGTGTTACAGCAGGTGTGACAGCCCAACTCCATCTCTAATTAGGTAAATAGACTTGGGCAAATTCCAGGCCTTTCTCAGGGACAGTCTCTACTGAGCAAAAATGAGTGTTACTACCTGCCTTCTTAGTACTTACCTTGCAGGGAATTAATACTGTATTTGAGACACTTAAATGCAGGGCAATGTGACTGAGAAAAAGCAAACAGAAAATAGAGTGTAGCCAATTTTCCTTATTATTTTTTGTCTGCACTATTTTTTTAATCCAACCACCTTAGTAGCTTTTCAAGTTATTCACACTATTTTTCAGGTTCTCACCGAGAAGAGAATAAAGTATGAAAGCCTAAAGAAACACATTTTAGAAATCTGTAACCTCATTGAACAAAACATTAACAAATTTCTAAACCTAGAAATAAGAACATGTCGATTCAGTAAAAAACAAAGGACTTCCACAAAACACTCAGTCTGAACCTTCCTTTTTGCTCTCTTTGCTGGCTCACCTCTTTTAACACGAGCTGTTGCAGTGGCTTTCTAACTTGCCTCTCCTTTTTGTATGATCCTGTCATTCCTCAGCCTTCTTTTAATATTTCTAGGCCTTTGCTTCCCCCTTTCCTTCAGGATGAAATCCAACCTTCTCACTCTGTCATACAAAGCTCTCCCCCATCATGACTGGGGCAAATGGCCAGCCTTATTTCTCCCCAAAACCCCTAAGTCTAAGTTGTTTTGCAGAGCCCCTTTTAATCTCTCAGACACTCTAGTCTTTCTCTGATCTCTGGGCCCTTTCAGTGTTTTCCTTCACCATTTTTATTGCCAAACCTCTTTTTTATTTATGAAATCCTTCGAGACGTCCCTAATGAGTTGCCTCCTCTGCGCAGCTTTCCTGACACCTTCTTCCTCCTCAATCCCTGACTGACTTAGATGATTCCCCTCAAAGCTCTCATGGTGATGAGTTTGGTCTTGTTTTGTGAGTTATCATGTAACTCATTTTAGCTTGAGATTCTCTTTAGGGCAATGAATACAGTTCTGTCATCTCTAGACCTCATGCAAAATAGATTTTCAAAAAATATTTGCTGACTGACATAATGAGACAGGCAATGTCTTAAAATTTATGGGCCAGTTATGAGGTATCAGGAACTGTGCATGAATTTTCTTATTTAATCTTCTAAGAAATTCTCAAAAGAGTTTACTACTATCATTTCCATTTTATAGATGTGGAAATCTAAAAGACAGGAAAAAATGGAAGGGAAGTAAGAATTCAGTTATGTTAGATGCCTGAATACATTTTCTATAAAAGATTACTAATTAGAATGCATTGAGTATTATCTAATCATTATGTAATGATATAATAAATTATTTACTGAAATATATTACAACTAAAACCTATTGAGTTATTCTCAATAGCTAAGCCTTAGCTATTGACTGATGCTGAATGCTCATTATAGAAAGAGTTTAGTCCTCATCATGAAGTAAAGAGGCAAGGAAGCAAGAGAATGAATAGAATAGAAGGTCACAGGGGAAACAATTCAACTAAGAAATCAAAGATGAACAAGTTAGGACCAAACGTGAGGGAAGATATACTAGGTAAATCCTCAACTGGAATTTTCCTAGTCCTTTTTAGGGCCAGCCCCATTGTGAAACTAAATGGATTCCTCTTCTCAACTGCTTGTGCCAAATTCTCTTTTCTGTTTATTGACTGTCTAGGGTTTGGAATGTTGACTGCAGGCCTCATAGAAAGGTAATGATCTTAGAATTAGTTTTGTTGGTAATGTACTTAGGTTAAGGAATATTGTCTCTCTTGAACTCCATTTCATTTGCTATGGTAACATCAAATTCTGAGCCATAAATAGCACACAGGTCAAACTTTCCTAATGAGAGCAGCCTTTTATACTACCCAGTTCCATACTTGCATAATACAGGATGTGTCAATGATCAAACAGTCATGGACATCACCATCTGTTTCTCCAAGTTCCATCAACCAAAGTAGGATGGGTTACACAACCAAAACGTTTACACTGTTATTTGTGTCTTACTATGTTTAGTTTTGGATCACAAATTTTAGTACTTCAGCCCTCATGTTTTTAAAACAGAAACCAAGAAAATATTCAAGCAGGTTAGCATTTTGCTGACAGTTGGCAGGCTTTGGGTACTTATTTCCTGCTCTAATTTTTCAGCTACTTTTAAATTTGTTTGTTACTATGGTAGGTTCATAGTAACAGACATCTCTTGGTTATTTGTGCAGAAAAGCCTCTTTAAGACTGGACAATGTAGTCATTCTTAGGGCAGTAGTAGGTGGTCTGACTAATGGTGGAAGAAAATTTTTTAAGTGATAATATTTTTTATTTTAAATCTAAGTGGACAATTATCGAGCCTCTGCCATTTATAAGGCATGTCTTATTATATACTTTATATTTCATTTAATATGAGTAAAATAATAGTTAACCATCCTTGTTTCAATTTTGGACTGGTCTTTTTATAAGCTTTGCTGCATTTTACTCTCATAATAACTCTCCAAGGTAAATATTGCTCTTATACCATCCCTATTATATAGATGAATCTATGATTCTGTGAGTCACAATACTTGCCCAATGTCCCATAGTAAGTGCATTGAGGTTTATTTGATACTAAAGCCTGTGTTTTCCACATCAAAAAAGAGAGAGAGCAGGAGAGTGTGACTAAGTGTTATGTAGGATCAAAGAGACGAGAGATTTTGGTGGATCCATCAGGCTTTATAGAAGACAGGAATATCTGAAATATCTTATGCACACAAAAATGACGTGAGGCATGCATTAGAGATTCAAGGCAATGGCAAAAGCAAAGGTAATAGATGGGGAATACTCAAAACATTTCTGGAGAACAGTGAATGATCAGATTTGTTGGACTAAAATGGTAAGATATAGATGGCAAATATTGGGGTGAAGAGTGAAAAGCCAAGTTGAAGCCATGTAGCTAAGCTTTATGGAGATTGAACCAGTAGCAGGTGTGGGATGCATTAGAGTGGGAAGAGATCAGACATAGTTTAAATAGTTGTAAACACTTTTGCCACAAACCCCATGCCAAAGATGATGGCCGAAATGAGAATCAACATGGAGTGAGTGTTAAGAATGTGTATGAGGGATTTTTTAAAAAAAATATATATATATATATGTCTTTATTTGACATTTAATAAGATGAAGGCATGAGATTTTAAAGTCTGGGTGTAAGGAAATGACAGCACTAATGACAGAATTAGGGGATGCCAAAGTAATACCTGGCAGCTCAAAATGGTGAGCTCTGGACATTGTGTATAGAATGGACATGTGGATTGACCCCAGTCATATAGGTGGTTAAGTCTCCTGATTTCGACTTGTATGCCCAACTCTGTTGTGCCTTTCTACCAATCCCTGAACTCTCCTTAAAAAAAAAAACAAAAAAAAACCGAAAAGGGTTATATGACATCAACCCCTGAACTTGCATGTGGCCATCATAGAAGGTGAGACAAAGGGAAAAATCAATGACCTTTAGCAGATCACAGAGATGGTCAATTGCTAAGAAATGTTCAGGAGTACTCCATTTATATTCAGTAGGCAATTGGCTTCTTATGTTAAAACCAAATACATTAACAGTGTTTTGAAAATTGAATTACAAAGTTTAGGTGACTCTCTATGGTAGCAAAAGCTAATATAGCAATGTAAATGCAAAGGTTTGGGTTATCTCCATTCTTGCAATAAATAATCACAAATCACTTGCATTTCTTGAGCATTTATCATATGCCAGGCACAGTTCTACATATAAAGTGTGCAATAACTCATCTAATTATCACGGTGATCTCAGGAGATGGATAAAATTTTTATCAGGCTTATTTTACAGATGAGAATTATGAGACTCAGAAAGATAAAAATAACATGCCTAGGTTCTCATAACAGACAGATTAGAGAAGCATTCATATCCGGATGTCTCCAAGCCCAAAGTCTTTTACATAACTCATAGCATGTAAATTATATAATGCCCACAAATATTTTATCTGATGTGATCTGGAATAACAAGCATTGTTCTTTACCACCATTTTATTATTGGTGACCTCATCCTATAACCATATTTTTTTTCTGAGTACATCCTATAACCATATTTTTTTCTGAGCACTGATTTTGTTTCCTAGAGGAAAATTACTTTCATTTAGGGAATGCTGATGTAATTGGAAAAAGAAAATGAAAAACCTCCCTTTTTACTTTTCAAGAAGGATTCTATTTTGAAGTATATAAATATTCTTTTTATTGGATACAAAGGGAGACTTAAAAAAAAAACTACTGTCGTTAATCCTATGCTTGGAAACATCAAAATCAATGATCACTGAAAGGATGATTTAGGTAGATACTGTAACTAGATGTGCACTTGAAGGAATCATTAGTAAAACAAATTCTTCTCTAACTGAAAAAAAATGTACAGCTTTTACAAATACATTTAACTGAATTAGATATACTCACTCATTTTCTATAGTCCAGCCCCCAAAACAAGACTTACCCCCTAACTACTCCTCACTGTGATCACCACAACTATTCTCCCAAAGATTCTCAGTGTTTTTATTGTGTGCTGAATCAAAATTTTGGAGGCATGGATTGGGACCTAAACATAAATCAGTATGCAGGAATAATATAAGTAGATAAAAGGTATCTATGTAGAAATATGGACGGGCGTGATGGATTAGTGATGATTTCTCCCTTGTAAAGAAGTCTATTTAAGGAGTTTTAATAATAATAAAAATAATAGAAATAGAAAAAACTGGGCCTGAGTTTTATTATCTATAAATAAATGTCAGCTTAGCTGATGTCAGCTTAGCTGATATAAAAAAATACCATAGACTGGGTGGTTAAACAGTAGACAGTTCTGGAGGCAGTAAAGTCCAAGATGCAGGTGCCAGCAGATTCTGTTTGTTGTGAAGGCAACTTTCTGTCTTGCACACGGCCATCTTTTTGCAGTGTCCTCACATGTTGGAAAAATAGGGAGCTCTGGTGTCTCTTCCTCTTCTCATGAGGACAGTAATCCTCTCATGGGGCCACAGTCTCATACCCTCATTTAAATTTGATTCCTTTCCAAAGGCCAGCCAAATACCATCTTATTTGGGGTTAGGACTTCAAAATATGAATCGGAGGCACAAGCATTTAGTTCATGACACGGGGGATGGAGACGACCTCTTCAGCCCTTTTCCATATATGTTAAATTCTCATGAGAAATAAACGCATTTGATTATTTCTTCAAATCAGTCTGATTCTCCTTGTGAAAAATATTTCAGAACAATTTCTTAAAAATTTAGAAATTCTTCTTTCTAAATTCAATAATCTAGAATTTTTTTCTAACTAAATAACTTAGCAATTTTCTTAGATTAACTCAGGGGTATTGGGTTTTATGACTGTTTTTGAAATTTGCCTGATTATAAGAATCACCCTTGGATAATTCTTAGGTTTCTCCCTCTGGAGATTTCCTTATGAATTTATATTTTGAGGTAAAACTTATGGTTAATCAAGTTTGGGAAATAAGAAATTAGTTTTAGTAGAAAAAATTCTGTCTAATTTTCAGTACTAAATAGTATCTTTATGTTGAAATGAAGGAGGTAGCGAGTGGGGGATAGTCATTTAATCTGCAATCAAAAGCATCCTTGACTATTTTGAAAATGTCTTCTAAAACTAGAGTGTGTTTCTCTACTATTAGCCATGGAAACATAAAAACTATAATTACCTTTTAGATTAATATATATGTATAATTTATGGATGAGGAAACAGGAATTTAAATGCTTTGAGCAAGGTTAGAGTTAATATATGAAGTAAAAGAATATCCGTCAACCCATACATATCATCTGGCAATTTCTGAGTGATGAATTATCCATCAACCAGTTTTTCTTCCAAAATGTATTATATTTAAGTTACGAGATTTGTTTTCTTTTAAAGCTAGCTCCTCATTTGCCTGTTGTTAAAAACGTCCTTTCTCTACTGATTTCCAGGCTCAATTTTGCTAATCAGTAACAAAAGGTGAAGAATCTAATCTCTCACCTTGCCTTTCCAACATTTTTTCCTGGAGTCATTGGGAAGAAGATGACAGGAAACATATTACTGGCTATAGTCCCTAAAAGAAACATTTAGAGAAAAAATTATCACAGAACAAAATGGAAGAGTTCTCACTAGTATGTAGAACTGGAGAAAACTCCCAGGTATTCTACAAATACTGCCTGGCCCTGCTATTATACTGGAGTCTTCTGAAGCAGCCATTTGTCCTAAAAGAGTAAGGAATAGCAACATGATTAATGCAACAAAACTATGTACAGTTCTGGGTGCTGGAATACAAAGATGAGTAAGGCAAAGTTTTTGGTCTTCAAAGAGCTCACAGTGTGACATGTAAATAAATAATTATACAGTAATAACGTAAGTACAGACAACATTTATGTAAAATTTAGAATGTGGTGGTGGATTCAAAGTGACCATAAATTCTTTTGACTCTCCTCACATTGCAAGGTGGGGTCTATTTACCTCTACCTGAATCTGGGGTGGATTGTGGCTTTGAGTCCAAAAGAAGTTTCACTATATCATTCAGAGTCTAGTTTTAAGAGGCCTGGTAGGTTTCTGCCTTGTTCTCCTGGAGCCCTAAGCTGCCATGTACAAAGCCCTATTATCCTCCTGGAAAGACCATGTGGAAAGCCCTTGAGATTACATGGAGAAAGAGAGGGATCCATCTGAGCCCTGCCTTTCGGCAATCCCCATCAATGTGCCCAGCTTTTAAGTGACCCATGTTAGACTCTTAAACCTGCTGTTAAATAGCCAGAGGCTGCCTCTGTACTTTAAGTTCCTACATAACAAACTAACCTAACTTAGTTAAGCAAACAAATCAAAACATAACTTGAGTATATTTTTTGTAACAAATATCTGGGTTTCAGTTAAACACAAACAGCCACGTTTCAGCCAATTACAGGCAGCCAACTGATCAGACCCACACCCAAATAAGGCCAATGCCTCATTACACTATGCTCAGATAATTAAGCAGATGCCTGCCTGTAGCCAGTCAGGTGATTTCTTTACTTCACTTTCATGTTCTTATGAAAGCTCACAGCTCACACTGCTGGGAGGAGCTCTCTGAACCTCTTCTGGTGTGAAGTGCTGCTCAATTCATGAATATTTATTTACTCAAATAAATTATGTTAAATTTATTATGTCTGAAGCTTTTTTCTTTAACACTGCTCAGCCTCCAAATATCACCTAATGTTCTTGCATTGTATAAGGAATCAGCCATTTCAGCCCTGTCAAGTTCTTGACCCACAAAATCGTGAAATATAATAACATGGTTGTCATTTCAAGCCACTGAATTTTGGGATAGTTTGTTACACAGCAATATGTAAACAGAACTAAAAGAGATGCTAATGTTATGGGATCTTTGGGGTGTTGCTTTTCTGGCCAGAAACCTCTGTGTCCAGTGGTGTCTTTGCCTGAGTTTTGCTCAGGCCCACTGGGCTCATTCCACGCACTCAGCCTGGCAGGCTGAGCTTAGCTCATGCTACCAGCCTGGTTCCCATTCCTGCCAAGGGCAAATCAGGTGTGGAGTGGTGAGGGGTATGTGAGCATGGGGTCTGGCCACTGCGCAGACACACCAGCTGCTGCAGTGGGGTGAGGAGCTCCAGGTTCTGGCATGGGCACTGACCCTCTGCAAGACTGCGGCTGGACCAGACACACCCCAAGGAGCTTCCACAGCTGGCCTCAGGAAACACGGTGATACCCGGAAGCTTGGAGATGCCAGAAACTGCAGGGCCCCAAAGAGGAAGTCACAGCCCTGGCTCAGGGAGCTCCCAGATCTGGGTTCCCCAAAGGGCCACAGCTCTTCTCTCCTTCTCTTTACCCACAATGTGGTGAGCAAGGGGCATGTTTCAGCCCTGTTTGTGTTATAGCTCTTTTAGCCTCACCATTCAGCAGGTCCCAAGATCTTGTCCTATGACCAGGAAGAATGAGGTATGCAGACAAGTGGAGGGAGAGCAAAATGAAGGAGAGCTTTATTGAGCAATAAAATAGCTCATAGGAGACCCACAGGGGTAGCTCCTTTCCATAGCCAGGGTGTCCTGACCAGTGTTCAGCTCCTAGCAGAGAGAGTAGCTCCTCTATGCAGGCAGGACCTCCCAAGTGTTCAGTTCTCAGTGGAGAGGATAGTTCCTCTCTGCAGCTGGTCATCCCATCCTCTCCTCTGCTCTGGCTGAGCCTGGGGCCATTATGGGCCTCAGAGGGGAGAAAGTGTGCACTGATTGGTCTATGGCAGCCATGGGTGGGCCCAGAAAAGGCACCACAAGTTCCCACTCTGCTCAGCAGGACTGGCAGCCTAGCCCTTAGCTTTCAGGCCCTCTGTGGCCTGAAAGTGGGGCCTCACTGGGGACCCGCCCCTTTCCACCCAGGAACCTGTCTCCTGTTGCCATCTATGGTGCCCAGGCTGCTGTGCCAAGGGGCACCTGTAGGCCAGTGCTGAGCTGCCCTTATGGCATGTCAGTGCTGCCTCACGCATACGCAACCGGCCAGGTTGTGACAGCACCTGGGCTTGGCCCCAACCCTGCTCTGAGATCAGACCAGGCACAAGGAGCAGGGAGAACCAGGCAGTGGGAGCAGACACCCTTGAGCCTGCAGGGGAAAGGGGTTCCTTCCTGCCCCCCAAGAGTGCAGAGTGCAGAGACGCCTGGGTCCTGCACCTGGGAGGGCAGGACTCTTGCCCGTTCCACGGAGCCTGCAGGCAGCCCCAGCCACATCCCCTTGCAGCCTGAGGTGGGGGTTCCAGATTCTCGCTGGGCCTGGGCTGGCCTCTGAGGCAGGGGTGAGTCTCCACAAGCTCTTCCTGTGGCCCCGGCATTCAGGGAGGCCGGGGACTCCCCCTCACCCAGCTTGCAGCCTTGCCTAGCCGCAGAGGGTATCTCTGGGAGTGGATAGCAGGCCCCGGTCCCAGCTGCCAGGAGGGTCAGGCTCAGAGGGGTGGCATTCCTAGGCAGCCAGCACAGAGCCTTCTCCCAAGGCACAAGAACTGAACACCATCGGGGTGGGCATGGTGGTTGTGCTGCTGGCCGAGTTCCCAAACTGGGTTCCCCTCCCCCTTCCTGCCCCAGGTCCCCGAAGCGTGGCCCCAGCTCCACCGTCCAGGGGCCCCTGCACTCCATGTGAAAGCACTGCACCTTCCAGGGACCAGCTCCACCTCGGTACCCCTCTCTGCCTGCCTCTCTGTGCCTGATCACGCTTCTCCCTCAACGGTGGGCAACTTGGGCCAGCCACATCACAGCAGCCCCCAGGGCCCTGGGCTCTGGGGTCTTCCAGGGGCGGGCTTTGGGGCCTGCCTGCCTCCTCCCTAGGCCCTCACGGCAGTGGTGGGAGGCCAGAGCGGCGACACAGGGCCAGGGTCTGAAGCAGTGGAGGCTCTGGACCTGGAGGAGGGTCCAGCCCAGCCATGAGGGTGTGGGGGCAGCACAGTTGGCTGCCTCGGGGACACGGGGCATGGGGGATGCAGGGCACAGGGGTCCCATTGCGGCTCTACTGTTCCTGCAGGCGCTCCTGCTGCCGCTGCTGGCGCCTCCTCCCTGTAGTCAGTGGGATGGCAGTGGCCACTCTGCATGGCCCATCGTTGCCATCACTAAGTCCGTCTGACTCAGCAAACACTTCTCAAGTAGGGTAAAATCTGAATAAAGTTTTGTTTTTTTTTTGTTTTTTTTTTGGGGGGTGGGGGGCGGGGGATAGGTGCGGACAGCGTCTCACTCTGTTGCCCAGACTGGAGTGCAGCTGCGCAATCTGGGATCACTGCAACCTCTGCCTCCTGGGTTCCAGCTATTCTCCTGCCGCAACCGCCCAAGTAGCTGGGAATACTGTTATGCACCACCAAGCCCGGCTAATTTTTATGTTTTTATTAGAGACAGGGTTTCACCACGTTGGCCAGGCTGGTCTCGAACTCCTGACCTCAAGTGATCCTCCTGTCTCAGCCTCCCAAGTGCTGGGGTTACAAGGGTGATTCACTGAGGCAGGCATGAATATAGTTTTGAAGGGTAAATAGGGGGCTTACCTAGGCAACTAATGGTGAAAAGCCACTCTAGGCTGATGGAACAGTGTGAGAGAAGCCAGGGAAACTTTCCGAGTTTGCTGTATTGGATTATCTCAGTATTTTCCAGAATAAAATAAAATAGAGGAATGAATGGTGGGTTGGAAATTAGACTAGAGAAAGGTAGTGCTGCCCAAAAAACAATCTATATGTTAATCTTTTTAAACTAGATGTATTTTTAGATTTCTATAGGAAATGAGTATCCACATAAGGATTTAAGGAAAAAAAAAAAAACTTTAGCTGAAAATGATTCTGGATCTAGAGGGGGCAAAATTGGAACTGAGAACTGCAATTGCAAGGTTATTTCAATAATCCAAAAGAAAATGCCAAAGGCCTGAAATATGACAATAAAATAAAGACAAAGAGGTAATTTAAAATCTTGAGTCATTAAGAAATTGATTGGATGAAGATGGAAGAAAGGATTAAGAAAGAGTATTGATTAAATCCTAATTTTTTTAATTTGTTGGCTGGATGGGTGCCATAAATTAAAAAATAAAATAATAGGAAGAAAAGCAATTTAGAAAATTATATTTCAAGTTCAGTGTTTAATGTATAGGCTTTGAACATCTATCTGCTGAATGAAAAGAGTTTATCATCGCAGGATGACATTAAGGCTCTCTCTGTCTTCATATTTATGTACCTCTATATCTTCATATTTATGTGTGTGTGTATGTATATAGTATATACATACACATCCTCTTTAGTTTCCAGGATATATATACTATATACATATATACACGCACACATATAAATATGAAGATATATATACATATATATATACACACACACATACATATACACCCCCAAATCTATAGATATATACATATTTATGCACCCACACATATATAATATGCCTATGTGCATATGTTTAGGTGTATATATATTGAATGCACACACACAATATTAGAATGTGTGTAGGTGTAGTAAAAACTAAGTGCAAAGATGAAATTGCCCAAAGAAAGCAGGTAAAGTGAGAGTTGAGGAAACAGACAAGAATAAAGCCCGAAGAGATACTAATGTGTAAGGAGTAGGGAGAGGAAAAAAATCCATATAAAGAAACTGAGGTCAGTAAAATATGTTATGGAGAACTATTTTATCATGGTTGAGAACTAGATTGTTCACTTCAGTTGCTAAATTCACTTTGCACTATCCACCCAATAATCTAGACTTTATTTCAGTGTACTTGGGATTGGGCTGCTAATAATATCTAAATGTTATGAAAATCTAAATAACTATGGATTTAGGTCTGGGGGTGGTGAGACTATAAATATATATAATTATATTTTTCATAAATGTGTATATTTATTCTATACTGTTCACATGAATGTTTTTAAAATAGCCTTTTCACCACGACATGAAAAACAATTTACTTGCCTTCACACTGAATTATCAAATGATTCATTATTTTCAATTCAATATCACAAGCCAAAAGAATCACAAATACTCAAAATTTGTTTTATTTTATAAAGCAATGGCATGTTTCTAAGGCTATAAAAGAAAGTTAGAAAATTATCACGTTAATGCCTATGGCATTAAGAATTTTTCACAATTGAAATGGAAACTAAAAAAGAACTTGAGATGAATTTTATTTTATTAAGAACTATTTGCTTCTGTCATTCTCAATAAGAGGCAAATGTTTTAGTTGAAACATCATTGCTAATATGCAACTTGTTTGCTTTAATCTCCATGACTAGAAGAATACTAAGCTATTTTATAAAAGAGAAGATTCAAAGATGTGACTTAAGATTTCATATTTTTATTTTAGAATTAAAATATAACTATTTTTGCTCATTTTTCTAGAGATCAAGATTTGGGAAGAAAACTTCCACTTCATTTCTTATTTTTCCTGAGACCTTCAATCTCCTTTAAACGGAATATGGTCAATTCCTAGTTGTGGAATAACCACAAGACAATTAGAAGTTAAATTGTTGAGCAGCCCGCATCAAATTGAAGTCTCTCCATTTTAACTATTTTATTTTTAGCATCTGAAGCAGTCTGTAGCTCTTCTAGGCTATAATCATGTTTATTTAAGAGCAGTGCAGTCTTCGGTGAGAAAATAAAAACCTACCAGAACTGCTATACTGAATAGAAGAAAATAGGAAGATGGGTGGTAGATTTAGTGCATTTTTCAGTTTTAGGGTTTCCTTCAATTTACTGTACACATAGTTCAGCCTAGGTTATAAGACTCCATCTCAGAACGGATTTGCTTTGTGTAATGTCATGTACATGTGAATCTATCTTGATTTAAGAAGTTAACCAAATGTTTTACTATTCAGAAAGTTCGAGCCCATACATTTCTGAAGATGCTGAGTCAGTTTTATTCTGCAAGTCATCCTAGGGAGTCATGATGCCTAGGGCTCTCAGTTTTGCAAAATATACAGGGAAAATAAATACGAAATAAAAGGTCTTCATAATATTTTTTTCCCAGAGAATAAGGACTATAACCTAGAATTTTTTGCTTCTTCAGAAGGAAGACCTCTGAAGAATGTCATCGTTATCATTGCCATCATCATCATCATCATCCTGTTAGCAAATATTTCTAAAGTGCCTACTGCATCAGCCTCTGACCTATACTCTTCACATGGAGTTTCCTCTTTAATTGTCAAAACATCCCTATGTGTTAGGTAATATTACGATCTTTTTTTTCTTTTTACCAGTAAATGAAGTGGATTTAAGTGACTAAAATATGTTAGTTATTAAATGGCAGAATGGTGTTTCAAAACCAGCACTCAAATTTTATAATTTTACACCCTTAAGCACTCCTCATGATTTTTAATGTAACAAGAAATTTGGAAAGCCTTTTATTGAGAGAAAGATTTAAAGAAAAGAAAAACTCCTCATTGCCAATAACTCTATTCAAATGGAAGCAGGGTAGAAGGACAGTTAACTGCTCTGTCTCTGGGAGTTAAGTTCCTACCAGTAAGCACTGTTACCTTAGAAAAGTCCTGTCCTCTCTGTTTTTGTTTGTTTGTTTTTGTTTTTTGTTTTTTGTTTTGAGACAGAGTTTCACTCTTTAGCTCAAGCTGGAGTGCAGTGGTGTGATCTCGGCTCACTGCAACCTCTGCCCCTCAGGTTCTAGCGATTTTCCTGTCTCAGCCTCCTGAGTAGCTGGGATTACAGGTGTCTGCCACCATGACAGGCTAATTTTTTGTATTTTTAGTAGAGACGGGTTTTCACCATGTTGGCCAGGCTGTTCTCAAACTCCTGACCTCAGGTGATCCGCCTTGGCCTCCCAAAGTGCTAGGATTACAGGCATGAGTCACCATGCCCAGCCCCTCTCTGTTTTATCATTTGTCAAATGGAGATACTATGAATACTTTCTTCTTTGGTTGTTGTGAGGATTAAATAAAACATAAAGTGCAATTAAGTTCTTAGCATACTTCCCAGAGCATAGAAAGTTCTCAATTAACTTTCAGTTTTTCTTATTTTGTGCTGATGTTATTATTTCCATCATTATATGTTTTAACTTCATGCTATAATTCAATTTGGTTCACCAAGTACTGTGCAATCAAAGATATTCTAGTTCTAGTAGAAGACATCAAACAAATGTAAGTGTACTTTTCCAATTTGGAAAAATATGGTATTTGAGAAACTGCTAAATAGAACCTAAGCTAAATATAGTAAAGTGGTGAGTGGTCAGGAATAAGACAGTTATCATACAAGGTGTTATGGAAGTAATCAAGCTTGTGATGAAATGGAAAAGCCCTCTAACTTGAGTGACAGTGAGGTGATAGCCTTAACAATGCATTTGCTTTGTCATACAAAATAACATAAAGAATTTTAAATAAGTATTGGCTATCACACCAAAGAATTGGTGAATAGAGACTGTAGATACTCAGGCAGAAGAGTTATATGAGGAGATTGGCAGTAGACAGGTAGGCTAAATAGGAAGGGGAAAGTCTGGAGGGGGAAATATCAGCTATAGAGGAATTTAGAAAGTCACTTCTGATCTGCTGAGAGCCCAGGACTGTGTTAATAACAGAAGGAATTAAGATGGACTTCCATCTGCTCTAGAGGAATGACTCCACTGGACAAGTTCAGGTCAGCAGAAGGCAAAGGAGGTGAGTTGTGGAGCTACTTTGGTGTGTCCATGATTTTCTCAGACCTTACTGGGTAGGGGATCACTTTGCCTAGTTTCAGAGATTACATACAGATTTTTTAATACAGATGTTGTTTTCTTTTGCATTTCTGTTATCAACTCTCTCTCATCCTTGTGAGATTTTGCATGCAAAAATCTTTCTCCCTCACTAATACACGAGAACAAATTAAAACTATTACAAACCTAGGTTCTCCTGCATCAGAATTGTTTTGGGTGCTTACAAAAGTGCAGATTTCTGGCATCTATTCCATGCCTACTACGTCGGAATCTTTGGAAATGGTCCCTGAGAATCCAGAATTTTAACATGCTTCTCAATTCTTTTTTTTATTATTTCAACTTTTATTTTGGATTCAGGGGTGCATGTGCAAATTTGTTACATAGATATATTGCATGATGCTAAGGTTTGGAGTATGGTTTATCCCTTTACCCAGCTTAGCATCCAATAGTTCTTAGCCGTGTTTTTCAGCCCTTACCCTCCCTACTCTCTTCCCCATCTAGTAGTCCCCTGTGTTTATCATTCCCATCTTTACTAGGAAATACCATTCTGGATTTCAGCTTGGGCAAATAATTTATGGCTAAGTCCTCAAAAGGAATTGCTACGAAAACAAAAATTGACAAGTGGGACCTAATTAAACTAGAGATTCTGCACAGCAAAAAAAACTATCAGAATGGTAAACATACACCCTATAGGAGAAAATATTCACAAACTGTGCATCTGACAAAGGTCTAACATCCAGAATCTATAAGAAACTTAATTCAATAAGCAAAATCAAATAACCTCACTAAGCAAAATCAAATAACCTCACTAAAAATAGACAAAGGTCATGAGGAGATACTTCTCAAAAGAAGACATACAAGTGGCCAATGAACGTATGGAAGAATGCTCAACATCAAATTATTCTTATGTTTGCTAAAGTTTGAGAACCACTGCTTTTTGGAGGTGAGTTTAGGAGAAGAGAATAGAATCATTTCCATGAACCTACATTAATCTATATGCTTCTGAAAGATAATCTATAAATCACTTTCCTCTAACTATAATAATTTTGTACTGCTTTAAAGAACACATCATTCATTTTCATCTTCAAGGGTTTGTGGATGGATTGGGGTTTTGCAAACCTTGGCTAGTCTGGGTTGGGCAGGGCTTTTGGCTTCTAGTCCAGTTGTGTCTGCTCCATTTGTCTCATTCTGAAATATTTTTCTGGCAATGGCAGAAATACAAGCACATTTTTTTAAGCCTCCAATGTCCTCAAGTCCACCAACATCCCATAAGCCACTGCCAGTCACATGGGCAAGCCCAAAGCTAGGGAGTAAGGAATTATACTCAACTTGCCATAAGCCATGACAAGGGTGTGAATTTATACTACTACTACAGGAGAATGATGAATTGGGGCCCATAAATTAACCTATCACAGGTGGGAACTGCATTTTAATCATGCTTGTATTCATACTTTCCAAGTGATACCTTGGCACGTATAGGTGGTTTTAGAAAGCACTTTTTGGACTGAACAGTGTAATTTACTTCAGCAATGTGGCTAAAAAGAGATAGTGAGAAGTAACAATTATCAATATGCACAGTTTGGATAGAATGTGTAATTTAAAGTGTGTAAAATACTAAGCTGCCTATTTTTTAAAAAAAAAATATTTTGAATGTAGTCAAACATAAAATTCACCATCTTAACCATTTTTCATCTGTACAGTTCTATAAAGCTAAGTACACCCATATTGTTGTGTAACCAATCTCTAGAATTCTATCTTGTAAAACTAAAACTCTATACTCATTAAATATCAACTCCTTATTCTCCCTCCCTCCCAGCCCCTGGCAATCACCATTCCACTTTCTGTCTCTATGAATTTAACCACTCTAGGTACTTTATATAATTAGAATTGTACAGTATTTGGTTTTTTGTGACTGGCTTATTTCACTTAGGTTCTTGGATGTCCTTAAGGTTCATCCATGTTGTTGTGTGTGTCAGAATTTCCTTTTTTAAGTCTAAATAATATTCCATTGTGTGTGTATACTATGTTTTGTTTATCCATTCATTTGTTGATGGTCACTGGGTTGCTTCCAGCTTCTTGCTACTATGAATAATGGTGCTATGAACACCGGTGTACAAGCTGGCTTAATGCTGACAATCGCACTGTATATTGTGGCCAGACTTTGTCATATGCTGCCGTCTAGTCAACCTGTCTTCCTAGAATTAAAAATGAATAATTTTTAGAATAGGAGCTGGCAATCCACAACCTGCAAGCCAAATCCACCCCACCCCCTGCTTTTGTACAGCCTCTGAGCAAAGGGTGGCTTTTACAATTTTAAACGACCAAAAAAGATCAAAAGAAAAATATTTCATTACATGTGAAAATTATACAAATTTCAATTTCAGTGTCCATAAAATTCTATTGGAACAAAGCTAAACTCCAATACTAATGAGCTAAACTCATTTGTTTATGCATTGTCTATGGCTGCTTTTGTACTACAACAGCAGAGTAAAGTAGCTGCAACAGATTATGGCCTGCAAAACCTACATATTTATGTGTCCCTTTATAGAAAAAGTTCACCAACTCTTGTTTTAAAACATAACAAGCAGCAAAGCACAGCTTAGAAGCTGCATTCATTTTCATGGATCACTGATTTTAGCATTTTAGCAAAATACTGTTTAGACAGATTTAGTTACCTTGAATCTAAAAAAAGGTATTTCTGATTCTCCATGACATTTCATTTTATTGGTGCCATTTATGCTAGGACAGTTGTACAAATGCTTATTTCAATAAACAAAAGGGTCTTGTGGTAGACTGCACTTTGGAAAATACCAGCCTGGCACTAGAGCATCCATCCAGCTGGACCTGGTAGGATGGATAGGATACTAGCACAGCCCAAGAGTAGCATGGAAGCTGGAGAGGAGACTGAACAAGCTTAGGCAGAGCAAAGCCTGGAGCCTGGGAGTCCTGGACATGATCTGCATCTGTGAAAAGAGGTATCACAGCAGCAGTTCTCAACTTTTTTCCCAGCAGTTGCACTGGAAATTTTCAATTACAAAATATGCTGTTAGCAATATCCTTGGCACTTTAGAAATTAATTATAATAATTAGTGATTCTTAACTATGTGCCAAGAATTCTGCTAATACCCCTTGTATTTAGGTATTGTCTCATTTTGTCCTGTCCCTAAACCCTATAAAGACATGTACTATCCATTGTTCCTATTTACCAAGGAAATGAACACATAGTGAGTTCACACAGCTAGCAGAAGGTAGAGCTGGGTTTGAGTCCTGGCAGGCAGACTACATACTAGTGCTTTAACTAAAACAAGGACCAGGAATGTTCGTGTGAGCCAAGCTCCTCTGGTGATTCTCAAAGAGCCTCACTGGCGATGGTCTGCCAATACAGAGTACACCTGGAAAACACTAAAGCAGCCTTCAAAATGCCAAGCAGCTGGATCATTTTAAAACAAAAAGCTTGTTTTACCCAGAGGTTTCTTCAAACAGTGATAAAATTAATTTGTGTTTGTGAACAGACTATGGTAGGTCAAAAGGCAAAGCAGGGAAGAGAAGATACTAGAGACAAGGCAGGCAGAGGCTTTGAAACCCTAGGATTTGGTTGGTATTCAGTCTCAGTGATCCACAATCTGAGCGGATTACATTACAGGTCTTGAGGGCTTTTTAGTGTTATCATTCCATAATTCCCGGGCTTCCCACCCCTTACCTGTCTATCTTTGTTTTCTCCTTTTGCCGAGGTCTCACGCAATTCCCAGTGATCTTCAATTGTTCTCCAATCATTTCACATGTTCCAATCTCTGTCCACTGATTCTTCAATGAAATGTTAAGCCATGTGAAGGGCAGGAACTTTATTTTCTAAACTTTTGGCAGCTCTCTCCATTCCTCTCTTTCCTCCTCTCCCTCCAGCCTCCTTCCTTGCACTCTCCAATGGGTGTTACATTGATAGGTACAAATAAAGTGTACCATGGACTTAAGTACCCATTCTCTTCAGTCTTGTGGCATAGGCAGCCAACCAACTCTAAGGCGATACAATTTCAATAAAATGTCTTTAAAATCATTTCATTTCCTAGCTCAGACTCTCTGCTCCAGCATTTGCAATGGCCTCCTAAATGATCTTCCACCTCTTAGATTATTTTCACTCTCATCCATTCATCCTACACTGCTGAGGCTCCTCACTTAATCAACTTCTCGCTTAGCTGCTGTGTTAAGCACATGCTTGTGATCTTTGCAATTAAATAAAGGAGGCAGTGTAGTTTAACTCTTAAGAGCTCAGTCTTTGGACTCACAATGCTTATACCTGAATTCTGTTTCTACCACTTTCATGCTGTGGGGCTTGAGCAATTTGCTTGATATCTCTGAGATTCAATATCCTCATCTGTAAAATGGAGCCAATAAAGAGTATCTTCTTTATAGCACAGTCATAAGAATGCAATGTAAAAATGTCAATTCAGCAATTTAAGCAATGCTATATGTACCTTATTCATAGGAAACCCATAATGATCAGTGGTTATAATCACTATCAGCATGATTATGGTGCAAAAATAGTAATCAGATTGATATTTAAATTATATAATTGTTATGTATTCCATACAGTAATCATGCCAGGTAGGTTCCTCCTCCTCCTTCTTTGCAGCTAATAAAACGCTGCACAAAGCACCATAAGTGGAACCAAGATTTGAACTTGTGTCTCCATAACATCTGAGCTGGTGTTTTATTCTGCTACACCATATAGGAGGATTTTCCAATTACATTACCACCGTTGTATGTTCCTCCAAGTTCCAATTTTCACTCTTCGATTTAGTGAGATGGAGTAGACCACAAGGAGTTAATTACAGTTATAATTTTTCCTATTATTTTCCCTTTATTACATAACAAAGAGTTATCCATAAACTGTCTTTGGTTTTAGTTGAAGAGAATTATTTTTCACGATAATATAGGAATTAGTATGAGCTCTTATAAAGTAAAAATTATAGGGAGAATTAACAAATAAATTTTAGAGTAGCTAGTTTTGGTTTAGGCCTTAAATCCAGGAATAGGTAATATCCATTAAAATGCTTTTAACTTGGAAGCATTTGAAGGCAATTTAGCAGCTTTTATTTTATAAACAAATAATGAAGGCCAAATAACAATCAAGATTGCAGCCTATAATTAGAAGTTCAAGGTCATCACTAAACATACTTACATCATAGAAATTCAAGAAACAGTAAGAGAATCAATACATATTTTGGAGACATTCTTATAGCTGTGAAGTAATAAGTGGATGCAATTATAATCTGTGAACTTCCTTAAGTTTATACGCATATGTGTGGCCTGACCAACAAGACCTCTTCAATAAAAAAAAAATATGTTTCATTGTGGTATTTCTCAAAAAAAATCCTGAGAAATCATAAACTCTTTTGTTCTCTTTTTTCATGGCAACATTCTGCAACCTGCTTCTTTTTTTTTTTTTTTTGAGACGGAGTTTTGCTCTTGTTGCCCAGGCTGGAGTGCAATGGCACCATCTCGGCTCACTGCAACTTCTGCCTCCTGGGTTCAAGCGATTCTCCTGCCTCAGCCTCCCAAGTGGCTGGGATTACAGGCACCCGCCACCACGCCTGGCTAATTTTTTGTATTTTTAGTGGAGACAGGGTTTCTCCATGTTGGCCAGGCTGGTCTCAAACTCCTGACCTCAGGTGATCCACCTACCTTCACCTCCCAAAGTGCTGGGATTACAGGCGTGAGCTACCACGCCTGGCCCACATCCTGCTTCTAACCATACTTCTAGTATCCTATATCATATCTAAGAGTTGTTGCTTCCTATTTTGGAAGGGAGATAAAAGCTTAAAGGTGAGCTGAATATGAGAATCAGCAGATTATTTCTGTAAGTGCCAGTTATTTTAAAAAATACTGATTATAGTAATTAAAGCCTTCTCACAGTTCATATAATACCTTAAAGATGGTGACTTAACAATTTATTCGAAACAATCAGTTAGTAAATATTTTCTATTGAATATATTCAGGGCATTCATCATACCTGAGTCATTGGGAAATACATTTAAAGTAATAAGGACTAGGAAATGAAATCACTGTAAGATTATAATAATGTCAGCAGTGAATCATTTATCAGAAGCCACTTTTATTTCAAAAGCTTGTTCCAACTTTTTGAAATGTCAGAGTTTAATTTCTAGGATAAAGTAAAAATATCTGTAATAATAAAAATAATGACTTACCAAGAGTGCACAAAACCGTCATGCAAGAAATGAAACAAATACAAATAAGTGTCAGATGTTACAAAAGTGTTCAAAAATTACAGAACCCAATCACAATGAAGGGTCCATAATTATAAAATTATTTACCTGGGAACTAACTATTTAGCATTAAGAAAATATTTAATGTACTGTTAATGTATTTTCCTTACCACTTCTTTCTCTACCATTCCCAGCTTGTTTGTTTATTTGTTTGTTTGTTTTCGCTTTGTAATGATGTTTTCTTAGTGTCTCCTGCTTCATCCTGTCTCCCCTGTCCACTCCCTCTGGCTCTTGTTCCTCAGTGATGTCTCTGCTAAGCAGATGTCCCCCAGCTCTCCTTTCTTGTCTGTCTGGGCCAGAGCATGTCATCTCATCATGGATGCAGATCTCAGTGCCCCTTCCTGCCTTCCCAGGACCTCTTTTCCATAGATGGAAATCCTGCTAGCAATGAGCATGCTGCACAGACAACTTTTTTTTTTGGAAAAAAAAAGAAAGATCATCTGTGAGATTAGAATGTTCCTATTAATTATGAAAACAAATAGCAATTACTTGAGCAGCTCTTACAGGAGGTAAGCTATTATAACATTTTTAAATGTACATTTTAAAGTATCCAACTTGTTTGCCACTTGCAGAGATCTTATGAATATCATTAAGTTTAATTTGTGTCAGTTTTTTTCCCATGGAAACTAAAGAATTTATGTCTTCTTTAACCCAACATATTCTTCACTTTGCTTTTTTATTTTGTTTAAAAAAAGAAAATCCAAAGCATGTCTAATTTACTCCTCATGAACATAGTGTTCATAGAATTTTCTGAGGGATTTACTTAAAAGGCAGATTTCCTGTCCTCACACCCAGGTATTATGACTCACCCAGAAACTCTGGAATTTACACTTTACATAAGCATTTTGGTGATTCTGAAACAGGAAGCCCTCTTTGAAGAAGGCTACTATTATTATTAAAAATAGGATTGTGAGATCTAGATAAATATCATCAGACAATCTGATACTATAGTAAGGACTGCGTATTGGTTCCTGGTAGAAAAAGATTGTGTATTCCAGAAAAGGAATATGAATGGACAATAAGCACTTTAAAGAAAGTTTACTTTATTAATAAGCAATGAAAAGTGAATAAAAACAATATGTGAACTATTTTCACCTATTCATTTTTTGAAAATTAAAGATTGGTATTATTACCACTAGGAAAAATGCAAGGAATTGACTACCTGCTCAAACACTGATAGTAGGAGTATAATATGGCAGAGACTATTGGAAGGCAATTAGCAATATGTATCACCTGTTGAAGTGAAAGACCCATTAGCAAAACTTATATGAACACATAAAGAAATGTATAAGAATGTTTAGTACCACATTGTTTGAAAACATGCAAAATTGCATGCATATGATCAATCAAGATGGAAATGAAGAATAACCCAGGAACATCTGAGCTATAGAATAGCATGCAGCCTTTACATAAGAGATGGCCAAGCTTTCATATATCACTTTGAAAATGCTCCAAGTCATATTCACTGTATTAAAAGGAATTCAGAGCCGTTGAATATAAGACTGTCTCATTTGTACTGAAAGGATAGCTATTAAATGCTTAAAAGTTATAACTAGGGAAATGAAGGTTTTTGGGTAGAAGAAATCATAAAGAATTTCAAACTATATTTTTTCAATTTTTTACAACAAAAACATATTTATATATTGCTTCTGAATTAAAATAAAATGAGGCACAATAGTTCAAAACTAGCTTGGGCAACATAGTGATACCCTGTCTCTACAAAAAATAAAATAAAAGGAGGTGAAGTAAAATAAATAACAAAGTTCAAAAGTAAGCATATTTTAAAACATAACAAAGCCTCACTACTTTTTAGAAACTAGGAGAGGTTTGCTTTTGGGGGACTCTTTTAAAAAAAAATGCATCTTATAATCTTTCCAGAGTAGTATCTCTTATAAACTAAGATATCAGTATTAATAAATAAAATGAGGCATATCAACAAAAAGTTTAACTTATGGAAGGCCTACATAACAATATATCATTTTATAATGAAGCAGAATTTTTGCCTACAGGAATTATTGGTAAAATACTTGCCTGTAGACACAAATATAGCAAGGGAACCTTCAACTACAAAAGTACCATACCTTGATGGGGTTTTATGGCTACCTTTCAAATTTTCTTTCATTTTGGTTTCTGTTGCTATAATGGTGTTTATCCAATAACTACTATAAGGGAATAGCTTAGCCCAGAATTCTCATTTCATAAAAACCATTTGAAAACAATGATTTTATTATGAATTATTCTTGCTTTAATAAATTCCACAGATTTTAAAAAATCAATTCAAATGCAATAAGAAATACTGTGCCATTTCAGAATTGCAAAGCCTGAATGAGTAAAACTTGGTTAATGTAGTTACACTATAACTTGCATCATTATTACTACTTAAATATTTGATTTTAAGTCATTATGTCTTCTCCGGATAGAGGTAAGAATTTGTTCTCATTATATAATCAATTGTGGTTAATAAGTTCTTTAGATTCAGAATCAGAAATGTTTACAGTTCTGTCTGGGTATACTTAATGTTTCATTTTTAAGTATTTGTTTGCATAATGGGATAAGCAGTTGTCAGATTATATTCTGGCATTTCCTGTACTATGTGGTGAACACATACATATCCTGCAATAGTCCTTTTTTTTTTTTTTTTTTTTTGAGATGAAGTCTCACTCTGTCGCCCGGGCTGGAGTGCAGTGGCATGATCTCGGCTCACTGCAACCTCTGCCTCCCAGGTTCAAGAGCTTCTCCTGCCTCTCAGCCTCCCGAGTAGCTGGGACTACAAGTGTGCACCAGCATGCCCAGCTAATTTTTGTATTTTTTTTTTAGTAGAGACGGGGTTTCACCATATTGGCCAGGCTGGTCTTGAACTCCCAACCTCGTGATCCACCCGCCTCAGCCTCCCGAAGTGCTGGAATGACAGGCATGAGCCACCGTGCCCGGCCAATAGTCCCATTTTTATGCAAGCCCCAAGCCCAGTTATACTAAAAGTAGGTACGATAAGTTGATATAACACTCAACAGGCTAATGCAGCTGACGATTCCCTCCTACTATGTACTCTCATTGAAAAATAAAACCAATAAAATATTCATGAATGAAAGGTCAAAACTAGAAAAGGTCAGCACTGGGCAAGGAAACCGGTAACAGATACCACTTCCTAGAACAGTGGTTCTCAAACTTTGCAGCACATTAGAATTACCTGGGAATCTTTAAAAACTCCCAATGCTTAGGCTACACTCCATATCAATAACAGCAGGATCTCCATGGGTGGGACATGAGCATTGGTAGTTTTTAGAGAAGCCCAAGTGATCCAATAAGCAGTGAAAGACTGAGAACCAGGGTCCTAGAAAATTTCAGAGGTTTCAAAGCAGCAGTAGCAGCCACAACAAATCATAACAGCCAAAGGAGTTAGTATAAGTGACAGTGTAGAGGGAAAGGAGCCACAGACATCACTTTGGATTAACAGGGAAGTTCAGTGCTTTGTGTAAAAGAAAGAAAAAAGATTTAGTGCACTAAATGAAGGATCAGAATCCTTAAGACTTTGACACCTGCGCCTTTCACTGGGAATGAAATAATTAGAAGTTAGGCCACCTGTGTGTGTGTATTTTCCTCACCTCAAATGAGATCAAGGTTCAATTATTTAGAACCTAGAGTCCAAAGAATAGAAAACACTAGATCAGCTTAAGCAAGTGGTTTACTGTTTTTCTTTCTTTGGTACTTAACTTTCTGCATACTCTCTATGCCTTCCACAATAGGCCCGTGTCAACTGGCAGTTGCACACAAGGCTTTCATGGTGATGGGATATGTGTCATTCAGAGTGAAAGAAAGAGAGAGGGAGAAAGACAGAGAGAGCGTGCAGAAGGAAGAAAGAAAAAGAAGGAAGGAAGAGAGGAAAGAAGAAATGCTTTATGGCCACATGTTTAAATATGTGCTGTTAGAACACTGATTTCAGCCATTTTTAAGACCACAAGCTTTTCAAAATTTCAACAGCTTTTAAATGTCTCTTTAGGCACAGAAACAATTATTATTATACATTAAGTTCTAGGGTACAAGTGCACAAAAGAAACCATTGATTTTTAAATTGCATTCCATGCTTTGGGAATTTTGTGAAGTCAGCACACAGTAATATTAATAATGGTGTTAATGTAAATATTCCCTCTTGGATCGTAAATGTCTTCATTACGAGATGACATAACTGGTACTTCACTAAAACTTGCTATTATTATCTCTTCAGCTAATAAATCATATTATGTTAAACTCATTTTAAATCCCACCTTTTAGGTAATATAGGATTATAATCATCCTATTCAACTCGGCTATGTTTTGAGAGGTGGAGGTATAAGAGATATTTTAAAGTCTATATTTAATTCTTATTCGCTTCCCTACTCACTGATAAATTTGCTATCAAAACTTCCCTAGTCTTAGGCTTTGACATATAGGTTACCAAAGACCTCCAAGTTTAAGAGACACCTTGGAATTCCCTTTTCTAACTTGCAATCTTTGCAGGCAAATTCAGGAAATTCAATGTCTAAATTCCACTTTCAGAGTCAACAGGGCATTCCACAAATCTATTCCAAGATTAAGGCAGAAACATCCGTATTTCTGCTATCTTGTCTGAGGAAGACAGAAACTAATAAAGGTAGTCCCCAAACTTGTGTACATTAAGATAAACCATCAATCTTTTAAAAAATTTGAAGCCTAGGCCATACTCCAAACCAATCAATCACATTTTCTGGGAGTGGGTCACAGGCACGAGTTAGTTTTTCAAAGTCCCCAGATGATCCTAATGTGAAGATAAAATTAGAACACCACTGATTAATGGCATCCATAGAATTTGTTTTAATTTAGCTAGGGCTATTGCATGAATTACAAGGTGTTGAAAATATCATTCCATCTCCATTTAAAAAAGGTAGATTTCCTTATGGTGAAAGGATCTGTTATATGGTCAACCTACAGGAACAAGTTAGGCTAGTCAGGACTACAGGGTTATTTTGTCTCAGTAAATGTGAATTACAATTGCAAGTAAAATTTCTTTTTATGAAAGCCAAAATAAGACAAGCCATTCATCTTCTCAAAACCATCTAATCATTATACAATGCAAATAGCAAAATACATGGGAGTATTTTACATCACAAGAAATTATTTTTAATATATTTCTTTGTGATTAATTCCTGCTTTTAAGATTATATTTGTGCATTAAAAATTATCCAAGTTCAGCAATAATGACAAGAAATAATAAATAAAATCAGGACGCAGTTTTGTCTGCATTTTACTTAATTATGAGTAATATTTAATAATAAACTCAGGAAGTAATTTTTGTCTGTTTTAATTATGAGTAACTATTTTATATATACAAAGAGTAGGTAGTTAATAAAAACACAAAATGGACAGGTGCAGTGGCTCACACCTATAATCCCAGCACTTTGGGAGGCAGAGGTGGGCGGATCACGAGGTCAGGAGATCAAGACCATCCTGGCTAACACAGTAAAACCCCATCTCTACTAAAATACAAAAAAAAAAAAAAAAAAAAGCCGGGCATGGTGGCACAGGCCTGTAGTCCCAGCTATTCAGGAGGCTGAGGCAGGAGAATCACTTGAACCCGGGAGGCGGAGGTTGCAGTGAGCCACGATTGCACCATGCCACTGCACTCCAGCCTGGGCAACAGAGTGAGACTCCATAAATAAATAAATAAATAAAACTACAAAATTTCTAGTACAAAATTTCAAAATTTTTGGTATATTTATGTGTATTATGAATAATATAGTGGCAAATCCATTCAGGGGAAATAGCATAGGTGTTTACTGATTCATTCAACATGTCTTTATTGAGCAACTACTATAGGGTAAGCCCAGAATTGGGTGCTATGGATTGAAGAATAACCAAGCTCTTTGCACTCATGAAGATTACAGTTTGATGGGGTTGAAATCCACTTAATAAATAAATATAAAAATAGTTTGTTAGAATTAGAATAAGAGCTATGAAAAATAATTTATGAGCCCACATAAATTACCTGACTTGGCCTGTGATACAATGTTGGGTCAGGGAAGACTTCCCTTTAAAATATAAGGTAAGACTTCATCAGTTGAAATGAGTACTAGAGGAAAATCAGAATGACTACAGTTAAGAACCTTAGTTTATTTCAGTTTGAGTTCCTCTTATCCCAAGTTTGAAAAATCTATAAAATGTGTTTTGTCAAAGAGGTATCTGCAAACATAGAAAGTAAACACTAACACGCGATATAAAAGTAAGTTACCATTTTCGTTGCCATTGATATAAAGTAAGCTTTGGCACAATAAGCATCCAGATCTGTCATCATTCTATTACTTCTTAGCCATGTGACATTAAGGACATCAGTTTATCTCTCAGCACCTCTTTGTCTTGTTGCCTTGTAGATATAGTGAACATTTATTATATCTGCCATGACTGTTACAACGATCACATGAAATGATATATTTACCCAAGCCCAAGTACTAGCTCAGGATAAGTGCTCAGCCAATCATTTCTTTCTCTGCACATAGTCCCTATATGGCCATACTGTTTAGAGTAAAGCATTTTGATTAAAGGCCATGTCACAGTGGATTTCAAAATTAGATGTATAATAGCAATCAATGGAAGAGCTTTAAAAAAATACAGATGCAAAGGCTCAATTCTAAGAGGTTCTGATTCAGTAGACTTGGAAGGCTCCCAGAATCTATAATTTTAAAGAGTTTCCCAGGTGTTTCAGAAGATGATGAGCTGAGTTTGGGAACCACTTGTCTGAGGAAGCTATAACATGATCACCCATTTTGAAATATAATCAGGAACATATCTGGGAATATCTTGACTTCTCCTGATCTTCAACTGGCATATAAAATCCACAAAGACACATCACCACTGAAATGTAATTACAGCATCCTGAATTAACAAGCAAATTGAAATAGTGTTCACAGTACTGTGCACCAACAGCTCATCCACATTGGAGTCAATAACGGTTGTAGCAGAATGACCGCTTGTTAAATAACCTTCACTTTGTTTAGGATAATTGCTGAATTATCCTAAAACCTAAAACTATGCAAAAATTCAACCCTGACTCTAATTTCCACCTCAGAGCTATAAGTCTATCATGAGTTTTGTGCTCTTAGAAAAACAAGCACTTAAAAAACAGTGAATTTAGGTATCTTTCTTGTGTGTATTTTCACTATTTTTAGCTCTTTAGGATGAATCCATGATATAATTATACCAGATTTTGTTTCTTCTTCTGAAAGTTAAAACTACTCAGTCGTCATTTGTTAATAAATAGCAAATTGTAGCCATAAATGTACTTGTCACCACAGAAGGTATAATTTGAAAGATATACTTAAAGGAAGAGCAACTATAATCTGACTACAAAAACATTTGTGAACACAGTATATGTGTATAGGTGACTCAGTAACTGTCCTTAAATGCAGGATTTTTATCATAATGTGTTTTGTAATATAATGTTACTATGCAGAAAGCATCCTCTTAGATGAGAGAAATAACATAACAACCTAACAGTGAGGTAAGCTTTCCTGGTAATTCACCCACTAAATTAATTCTCTCTCTCTAATCAAGAAAGAGATCATACTATTTTTAGCTTTAAAAGAGTTTACTTTCACAGTTTCATTAATCCTACCTTTTATTCCTTTTTTATTTAAACACACAAAAACCATAGGGCATTATATTTTCTCTCTCTCTCTCTCTCTCTCTTTTCTTTCTTTCTTTCTTTTTTTTTTTTTTTTTTTTTTTTTTTTTTTTTTTGGGGCAGGGTCTCACTCTGTCACCCAGATTGGAATGTAGTGGCACAATCTTGACTCACTGCAACCTCTGCATCCCAAGTTCAAGCGATTCTCATGCCTCAGCCTTCCAACTAGCTGGGACTACAGGTGTGTGGCACTACCCCCAGCTAATTTTTGTATTTTTAGTAGAGACGAGGTTTCTCAATGTTGCCCAGGCTGGTCTCGAACTTCTGGACTCAAGTGATCTGCCATATTTTCAAATATATTTTTAATGAAACTTCATGAAAAGAAGTTTCTCAATTCAGAAACTTGAGATGCTGCATTTTTACAAATCAGCAGATACATTTTTACCCTACTTTTACTGTAACCGTATAAGTAACTTAAGGGCTACAGAAAGCTTTAGATGGTTGAATATTTAGCCTTATTAGTAGTAAGAGCCTGGACTTTGGAGCAGACAAGCTGGTTCCAAATTCTGGTTCTGTCGCTTAGTACCTACATAACTCAGATAAATACCTCAAACTTTCTTTGCCCAAGTTATCTCATCTGTAAAACAGGAGTGATAAACACACATCCTTCATAGAGTTATTGTGAGAATAAAATTAGTAAATATATGTGAAACACAACAATAGTCTCTGGTACCTAAAACATGCTCCAAAAAGTTATACTTATCATCAGCATTTTCTGCCAATTGTGTCACTTGGTTGAAAGGAGGTTTTATTTGCAAAAGTTTCAAAATATGAAAAGTAAAAATATTAATTGAATTCCTACTATGTGTCAAACACAATGCTGTAGGCTTTCACATTTTCATATAAATGTCAACAATGTTAAATCAATTGCACTGCACAATTTCACATACTTTTTTATCAGAACATCTAGTTTTCCCAGTGGCAGGCTTCTGACATAGACATGCAAGGCGGCAGAATTTGACACAAGACTGAAGAGAAGGAAGGAGAAAATTAAAGTTTGAGGTATGTATTATCGAAGTAAAAAATAAAAACTAAAAAAATAAAAAATAAAAGATAAATCTCCTTGGCTTATCACAAGTAATGTTTATTTCTTGCTCACATAAGTTGGGGTGGGGGCAAGGAGAATCAGCTCATCCTATTATTTAGAAACCAAGGCTGAGAGAGTCTCTGCCTCTTAATCACAGGGCTGTCATTGTCTGCTTAATATCTGCAGATGATGCTGCGTGGAGGAATGGAAGTGCTTATAGGAGGGTCTTCAGGCACACATGCCATTGGCCAAGCTCAGTCATGTGGCCACATCTAATTGCAAGGGAGGCTGGGAAATGTGCTCAGGAGGAAAAGGCAACCGGTTTGGTAATAGTTTCTGCCACAAGGTGTATGACTAAAAGGACAGGTCTAGAAGGGTACTGATGCAAAAGTCTAGCTAGCTAGAATTAATTTTTTTAAATTAAAACATTGAAAGCTTATGAAAGAAGTGAGGGAAAGGGATGAAAAGTGATCATTGAAAACTAGAAAAATAGGAATAGGTTTCCTTAGAGGGAGAGAGATTGTGTGAGCAGCAAGGAGAAAGTTGTTGAATGAAGGGTTAATATGAGAAAAAAACTTTACCAGTTTCCCAATTTTGTTGAAAATGAACCAGTATTAGGGCAGTGGAAGTCTCAGTTTTTATTTCTTTGTTTGTTTGATTGTTTCTATTAAACATTTTCTGCAATATGCCACCTAAGTGTCAAGACATGATAGCACTTAGCAGAACTTGATCGAGAAGATAACCAAGGCTGCTTATAAAACTGAAATGTGCAGAGCTTCCAGAATAAATAATTTCCATCCTCTTCTGTGTCACTAGCTGTTTAAATTAGCAAAGAAATTCAATCTGCCTGCCTACAAGAGTATAAGCCAAGCTGTCTGAAAGTATTAACTATTGTCAGGAAGAGAAAAGTGAGATTTTTCTCACCAATAAAGATGTCAAAAACTAAACACTAAAATGGCTTATATATTTATAAGACAAGCAACATGTCAGACAGTTCATTGCAACATATAATTGTTGACAAAATAAACATGGACATAGAAGATCATACAAAAAGAGTATATCTATTATAACAGAATTGTGATTTTTATTTTGCTTACTCTGTGTTCCTTCTTTTGGATATTTTAAAGTATTTGTTTTTGTATGTTCTATTTTGTTGTAATTTTGCTGAAGCTGGCACAGCTATTCCTATTTCTGTTTCATTCATTTAATCTTTTATTCAAGAACTGCTTGGTGCAGGTCTTCTCTATACTAGCTGCAGTTCTCCCAGTCAGTATTTTTTGAATGGAAAGAAATTTGGTCAGTAAGTGAAAGATGTTTTTCACGCTTTTTCTTTTTTTGTTGTTGTTGAGATGGAGTCTCACTCTGTTGCCCAGGCTGGAGTGCAGTTGCATGATCTCCGCTCACTGCAACCTCTGCCTCCCCAGTTCAAGCGATTCTCCTGCCTCAGCCTCCTGAGTAGCTGGGATTACAGGCACTTGCCAACACGCCCAGCTAATTTTTGAATTTTTAGTAGATACAGGGTTTCGCCATGTTGGCCAGGCTGGTCTTGAACTGCTGACCTCAGGTGATCTACCTGCCTCAGCTTCCTGAAGTGATGGGATTACAGGCTAGAGCCACCGTGACCGACCAGGATGTTTTTCTTTCCTGCAGTTTTGGGAAATTCAAAGAAGAGTAATTCTGCAATAACAGTAATTTTTAAAATTAGAATGAGACACATCAAGCTATCTGCTCAATGTATAGGAAAGTTTATGAGAAAAACTCAAGTTCTGTCCTACCTTTACATTTAATAATAGTAATGTCTTCCCTGATTTTTATAGAAAAAGTGGAAAATAATGAAAAAAGACTGGGTGTGGTGGCTCACGCCTATAATCTCTGCACTTTGGGAGGCCGAGGCAGGCAGATCACTTGAGGTCAAGAGTTTGAGACCAGCCTGGCCAATATGGTGAAATCCTGTCTCTACTAAAAATACAAAACTAAGCCGGGTATGGTGGTGCTCACCTATAGTCCCAGCTACTCAGGAGGCTAAGGCAAGAGAATCGCTTAAAGCAGGGAGGTGGAGGTTGCAGTGAGCCGAGATCATGCCACTGCACTCCAGCCTGAGTGACAGAGCAAGACTCTGTCTCAGCAAAAAAAAAAAAAAAAAAAAGGAAAAGAGATTAGTTCCCACAATCCTACTTCCCAGATAAGCCATCTAGGGTTAGATTAGATATGAGATGTTACTCTAAGTAATTTATAACATACCATGCATGTTCTGAAATATGCTTTTTTCAAATATTTGTACATAGAGAATTCCAAATGTTTCTCCATATTAATTTAATTATTACAGAATACTTTAATAACATAACTGCATTATCTAAACTGTTCTATACTTTAAACATGTAATTTGTTTTCAATTTTTGCTATTAAAATACCATTGTAGATGGATTTTTATACATCCATGTTTCTGTTCTTAAAATAAATTTCCAGAAATGACTGCATCAAAGAGTTTTCACATTTTAAGCACAGCCAAATTGCTTTTCAGAAAGGTATGCTAATTGCAGTACCTACTAGCAGTATATGAATGAGTGCCTGGATTTTTGCACTTATGCCCAGACTAGTCACAGGCATACCTCTGAGATATTGTAGGTTTAGTTCTAGACCACCACAATAAAGTGAGTATCATAATAAAGCAAGTCACACGATGTTTTTGGTTTTCTAGGGCATCTAAAAGTTACATTGACACTATACTGTAGCCTATTAAATGCACAATAGCATTATATGTTAAAAAAAAAAAGTACTTACCTTAGTTAAAAAATACTTTATTGCTTAAAAATGCTAATGATTACCTGAGCCTTCCGCAAGTTGTAATCTTTTTGCTAGTGGAAGGTCTTGCCTCATTGTTGTTGGCTATTGACTGATCAGGGTAGTTGTTGCTCAGAATTAGGTTAGCTGTACCCATTTCTGAAAACAGGACAACAATGAAGTTTTCAACAGTGACTGACCGTTCCCTTCACAAAAGTTTTTTCTGTAGTGTACAATGTTGTTTGATAGCATTTTACTCACAGTAGAACTCCGTTTAAAATTGGAGTCCATTCTCTCAAACTCTGACTTTGTTTATCAACTGAATTTATGTAATGTTCTAAATCTTTCATTGTCATTTCAACAATATTCACAGCATCTTCTCCAGGGGCACATTCTGTCTCAAAGGATGACTTTCTTTGCTCATCTATGAGCACCAACTCCTCACCCATTCAACTTTGATCATAAGATTGCAATAATTCAGTCACTTCTTCAGGCTCCACTTCTAATTTTGGTTCTCTTGCTACTTCTACCACATCTGCAGTAATTTCCTCCACTGAAGTCTTGAATGAACCCCTCGAAGCCATTTATGAAGGTTGGAATCAACTTTTTCCAAATTCCTGTTAATGTTGATATTTTGACCTCCTCCCATGAATCATGAATGTTCTTAATGGCATCTATGGTGGCAAATTCTTTCCATATAAATTTACTTTGCCCAAATACATCAGAGCAATAACTAACTATGGTAACTATAGTCTTATAAAATGTATTTCCAAAATAATAAGACTTGAAAGTCAAAATTTATACCTTAATTCATGGGCTGTAGAATGGATGTTGTGTTAACAAGCATGAAAACATTAACCTCCTTGTACATCCTTATTAGAGCTCTTGGGTGACTAGATGCATAGTCAATGAGCAGTCACATTTTCAAAGAATTTTTTTCTGAATAGTAACCCTCAACAGTGAGCTTAAAATATTCAGTAACCATTCTGTGAACAGATGTGCTGTCATCCAGGCTTTGCCTTGTTTTTCCACCCATTTATATTGCACAGGCAGAGCAGATTTAGTATAATTCTTAAGGGCCCTAGGATTTTCATAATGGTAAATTATCATTGGCTTTCATTGAAAGTCGTCAGCTCCTTTAGCCCCTAACAAGAGAATTAGACTGTCCTCTGAAGCTTTGAAACCAAGAACTGACTTCTCTTCTCTACATATAAAAGTCATAGATGGCATCTTCTTCCAACAGAAGGCTGTTGCATGTACACTGAAAATCTGTTGTTTAGTGTACCCACCTTAATCAATGATCTTAGCGGCTCTTCTGGATAACTTGCTGCTTCGCCTTGCACTTTTGTGTTATGGAGAGAGCTTCTTTCCCTGAATGTCAGGAACCAACCTCTGCTAGCATCCAACTTTTCTTCTCCAGCTTCCTCACTTCTCTCAGCCTTCACAGAATTGAAGGGAGCTAGAGCCTTGCTCAGGATTGGTCTTTGGCTTAAGGGAATGTAGTGACTGGTTGAATCTTCTATTCAGATCACTCAAACTTTCTCCATATCAGCAACAAGGGTGTTGTACTTCCTTATCTCTTGTGTGCTCACTAGAGTAGCACTTTTAATTTCCTTCAAGTAGTTTTCTTTTGTATTCACAATTTGGCTCTTTGGCCCAGGAGGCTTAGCTTCCGGCCTATTTCAGCTTCCACATGCCTTCCTCATTACAGTGAGAGATGTGCACCTCTTTCTTTCACTTAAACACTTAAGAGGCCATTGTAGGGTTATTAATTGGTTTAATTTTAATATTGTTGTGTCCCAGGGACTCCGAAGGCACGGGGAGGGGGAGAGGGAGAGAGATGGGAAAATGGCTGGTCAGTGGAACAGTCAGAACACATGCATTTGTCAGTTAAGTTTGCTGTCTTACATGGGCGCAACTCATAGTATCCCAAAACAATTACAATTGTAACCTTAAAGTTGATTGTAGATCACCATAATAGATATAATAATAATGAAAAGGTTTCCTTTTTTTTTTTTGAGACGGAGTCTGGCTCTGTCGCCCAGGCTGGAGTGCAGTGGCGCAATCTCAGCTCACTGCAAGCTCCGCCTCCCGGGTTCACGCCGTTCTCCTGCCTCAGCCTCCCGAGTAGCTGGGACTACAGGCGCCCGCCACTACGCCCGGTTAATTTTTTGTATTTTTAGTAGAGACGGGGTTTCACCATGTTAGCCAGGATGGTCTCGATCTCCTGACCTCGTGATCCGCCCGCCTCGGCCTCCCAAAGTGCTGGGATTACAGGCGTGAGCCACCGCGCCCGGCCGAAAAAGTTTCTAAAATGTGACATGGAAACATGAAATGATCACATGCTGTTGGAAAAAATGACACGAATAGACTTGCACAATGCGAAGCTGATACAAACCTTCAATTTATAAAAAAAAAATCAAGTGAAGCACAATATAACAAGATATGCCTCTATCATTTTCTGCTTTTAATTTGAACTTCGGAGTATCACAGATATGTGAAAAGTTTCCATACAGGATGCTTTTTAAAAGTATTTTTTTTGCTCATCAGGAGAAAGATTGTGAAATATTATAAAACGTAATATGAATTTATCAAGATAAGCCATGTTTGATGCCTTCTGCCAATTTTACTTTTTACTATAGAATTTGTTCAGCAGTTTTAAACAGCAGGGTGTTCGTTATCATTGCCCTTGCAAGGTAATTTTTCATATGCTAATATTTAGGGTCTATGTCACATTATTAGGATTTATAAATTTTTGGCAAAAAATCCACCGTGTTTGTGAAAGGTATTATTTACATTATTTGTAATGTATTATTTGTATTATTTACTTTAATTGAAATCTAATGGAACAACTATTGCTGGAAACAAAATAATATCCTTATTTTGTAATTTTTTGGTAAAAAATCACTGTAGTTTGTGACATCTGTAATTTTTTCAGACAAAATATGTCTCAAATATATCCTCTTCAATTGCGTTGCCACCTAACACAGTAACTGTTGCTGAAAATAAAAAATTGTAGTAGTCTATTTTTTCTGGGTAAGAAATTATATAACCAAAAATCAGAAAAATCCTCTTCCTAGCTACCCCCAAATCTAGCCACAGTGGGATATTACTTATTTTCTCAATATATTATGTATTTTTATTTTTATAACTCCATAATTTTGCTCACACTTCTTCCTCTGTCTCCAATAGGAAGGAAACTCTTTCTCTTCTTTTCTACCTTGTAAATGCCTTCTCATCCTTCAAAACTAATTTGTGATAGACCTGAGATGTGGGATTTGTCCCTACACATTCCTCTTGTAGAACTACTATAGTTCCTATTACAGGCAGAATGGATATAGACAGCTGTGTTTATATATTACGAACTGAGTAGCTATGCTAGACAATTGAACCAGAGATGGACCCCTGATTAAAGATAAGCTAATCAGAACCCTCACCCAAGATTTTGGAGTAGGAGTCTCTGAAAGGCTAAGCAATTTACTGAGCAGAACTGCACTGGATGATTACATATACTGGGGACAGAATTTTGCTTGTCAGCATGGCAAGTGATAGACATTGCAAATTACAATGGAACAGAAATCACAAGTGAGTCTGCAGAATGCTTTCCGTCCTGATTTTTATGAGCGGTATCAACCCATGTCTCCTTTTTGCTTTTTCTAGTTTAAGTGCTTTTTCTTCCTTGAAATAAAAGCGCAAGAGAAGGTGATGGTTCAAATACTACCTCTTCTCTGAAGCTTTTTCTGAGCAATTACAGGCTGATTTAATTAATTTTAATCTGTTGTCAGGTATTAATGTATGTAAGATAATACGACATAATATAATATATACATTTCATTGTCCAGTAGTAAAGACCTAAAATTGAGTGCCTACATTGAGCTAGACATAATAGTATTCTGATGCATGCGTTAGTCTCACATCTACATTACTGAGGGAGCCATGACTCAATCCCAAATCTATCCAATTCTAGAGACTGTTTCTAACCACTATACTAAATCAACTTCCAGCACTAATGTTCATCATCTCCCTTGCTAAAGACTAAGTTCTTTGAAGTTAAAGGCCAATATTATATGCATCTTTTCAAATGCTAGCATAGTGCCCACTGGATGTGGCAGACTAAATAAAGGTATATGGAATTAAAATTTCTTAGCATTACCTAGATTGTAGTCCTAGATTTTTGATGTGATTAACTATTTCTAAGCTGTCAACCCTTACACTCAATATATAAAGGACCACATACGTACACACACTTTTGTACAAACATTGAATGCTTAAATTACGAGATTATTTTCTTCTTCTTTAAGGTAAAGATAAGGTATTTCTTTTATATTTTAATATTGTCCTCAGAATAGTATTTTAGAAGGTATGAAAATTGCAATCATAGAACTCAGTGGAAGACACTTTATAAGCCTAATGGTAGTATTGTCTATTTTTCTCTAAGACCGTAAAAGAAAGTTGGTAGTATGATAAAGTTTGATAATGTCACCAATTTAAAAGTGAAGGGCCAGGCTCATTCTTATCAGTAGATTAGACAAAGTTTGAAATATTCAACTCTTCTAGCAAAACAAGAAAAGGGAGTGGTGAGAAAAGGCTTGTGATTTTATTTAATAATAATTTCAAAATCAAAGTAATTAGAACAAGTCTAGCTTTAACTGAATGCCAGAGATTACTGTTCACTGTGAAATTGTTAGGATAAGCCTGTATTTCCCTTTTTCTCCTTTGATACAGTTTAGCAAGAGCTTAATCATCACTTGGTCGGTGATAAGCAAGCATCTTGACATTTTGCTCATACCAGAATTTATGAGTAGCTACAGAAAGCATGCGTTTTGTACTTTGCTTCAAATATGAGTCATCCTATAACTATACTAGTACATGAACATAAAAATTCTATACTCATGACACATTATTTGTTAGATCAAAAAATCTGGAAACAACTTAAACGTCACTGGTTAAAACAATTATAGTATTGCCATTCTGACATACTACAAACTTAATGTAACCTTTAAAAAGAATGAGTCACCTCTCTATGTATTATATAAAATGATCTGCAAGACGCATAGAGTAAAAAAAGCAAGGTGCAGGACAGCGTGTAGAGTATACTAACATTCGATAAAATATCTTGTGAAATTTTCCCAGATGCATGTATTTTCCGTTAAAATACATTGTTTAAAAGTCACACAGCAACAACAACAGACATTTTAAACAATCATTACCCAAATTGTTCTAGATTCCTTAAATAATCCTCTTTTGAATTTGTATTTTATCTGATTTCCATCGTCTAGCCTCTATTACTAGCTAATAAAAACCTACAATTTTCTTGGTATTTTCCACCTTTATAAATATGAAGAATTCTTTTTAACAGAAATCCCTTCCTAATTTCTCAGCTGGATAGGAAGAAGAGGCATCCCTCTGGTTGGTTTTGTATTCTTCCACACATCTCTCATCTGGAGATGAGAAGCAAGAAAGGCTGTCACTAGGGTCAATGTACTGAGGTCCGTTCCTGTAGAAAGGAAGGGATCCAATAACCAAAGCCCTTTAAAAGTTTGCTTCTTTCCCCACTTAAGCAGAAGGCTCTTCTTTCTTCTTTTTGGAGAAAAAGTTTCCTGTTTCCTTTCCTTTATTGTGCTTTATTGGACATGGCAGGCCTTAGAATTGGCCTTTCTGGCACTTCAGAAAACAAGCGCATGTAGAAAAAGAAAGTTTCTCCTGGGTGAGGAAGCTGAGACTTCCAGACAAAAGGAATGTAACAGCAGACATCCTGCCAGTTCCTCTTTCAGTGAAGAACCAACCAAAGCTTGTGTCCCACTGGTTGAGACCCTTGAAATTGAACCACTTCCAGAAACACAAAAACAACAAACGGTCTAGTACATCTGCGTTATTTAAGGAAATATTTGCACGATTGATCAGTCACTACTATCCTTTGCAGGCCTGAAATGCAGCATTTTGTGGTTTGGGTGCAGACTTTAGAATACTACAGAAAAAGTATAAATTGGGAAGTTTGCTTTCCCTTTTCCTCAGTATAAACAATATGAAATCTGGCAAGTACAAATGCAAAGAAAATTTAGATTTTATTCCTGTGGGTTTTCTTTAAAATACTGTATCCGTATCCTCATTCCAATCAATAGATTTCAGGTTAAACAAAACTTGAAATATGAAACTCACCTAGCAAGAGAAAAAAAGAGTGGAATGAGGAAGGATTTGTGATTTTTAATTAATAATTATTTTAAAACCAAAATAATTAGAACAAGTCTGCTTTGCATGCAGTAGTACTCAAGATACTGCAAATTATTTTGTTTGGTACAAAATCTGCATGTATTTGTTAACTGTATTTATGGGCACACATCCTGTTCCTGCCAATCACCAAGTACTTTGGAGTATTATTTTTGTGGATGATTTTCTTCCTTGTCCGAAAAATATTGACCATTTAGGTAGGTATTATTAATTTATTGGAAACTATTTTTGAAAGTAGTAATGTAAGATTCACTCTCATTCTGCCATGATCATTTGAGTTTATCAATGCAGAACACGTCTTTCTTTAAAGTTATTCTAGAGCTGATCAATATTGTCTTATATTTAGACACTGTCTTTTCTCTGATCATCTTTAAACATATCACACTTCCGTTCTTGTAGAACACACACATACGTACACACACACAAACCTCTAAGATCACAATCCCAAAATGTATGTCTACTTATAACATTTCATGATATTAAATGTTAAATTTTATTTCAAAAACTATCACAGCCTAAAGGGAAATATAATTTAAGCATTAAGATAGTACATTTCAGAAAATAAGCTAGTATTTTCATGTTACATTTTAGGTACCTATCATTTGTCATTCCAAGAGATCCTTGCGTTCTAGACTCTAGAATTAAATGGGGTAAAGGGTTATGCTTTTAAGAACTATAAGCTGAAATGATTTACTTCAGTTCAATATAGAATATTTGTCAGTCAAGATAACAATCAATGTGTACAAAAATTTACATAACAAGAGGAAAAATAGGCAGTGCAGCACCTTTAGAAAAATAATTAAAAGTTTCATTGCATTTACAGGTAAGTGCCACACTGAGAATTTACAATACAGTAATTTACTGCAATCACAGGGGAGTTCCATAAAGAAACAAAGCTCTTACACTCCAGGTTTTTGGAAGGTGTTATTGGAATGCTTAACTGAAACCACAGAACTTGTATATCCTTAGGATTGAGTTGATGAAGGTCATAAAAGGTTTTCATAGCATCTATTATATAAAAGGAGTTCACTGCATTTGGATAGCTGGTTTAGTGTCTCTGACAAGTGTGAAGCCTAGAAGAATTACTGGCTTGATGGTGATCTTTCTGTATCCGGCAAGACAGACCTTCTCCACAGTAACAACGCTGGAATATTTCTAGTCCATGAGAGCCTTTTCTCCTATGCTTGGTACACACTTGACCTTCTTTCAGGACAGGTTTACAGATCTTGGACCAGAAGTGTCTAGCACAACACAATCCTGAGGCACAGTCTGATGACCGGAGACAAACAGAACCTTCTTGTCCTACGAAGGAGAAGACAGTAGGAAAAAAGTACATAGTTACTGTTAAACCTGCATCGTTTCACTAAAATAATTCAAAAGACACTTCTGATGTGCTAAGAATGAGTCTTAACATCCTTACCTTTGGTGTGATACATTTTTGAAGACAAGGTGGTTCTTCTGGAATACCCATCCAAGGTGCTATGATCATTACCAAAGCTTTCAGTGATGGTTTCCTCAATTTCTCCTCGGAAATGATTTTGATCAGAAGACACACATATTCCTAAGGAAGCAGGAAATAGTGATTAACTTCAGGGTTGTAATGCATTACTGCTAACAGCTGTGACAGTGGCAGTCTGTTATGCCAGCATCAACTTGAGATACTTCATTGCAGTGACATCATTTTAAACACAAGCCAAACTTCCTCTTTACTGTTAATGCAAAACTCTCCAGATGGACAGAAGCACCAATGTGTATACTGTATACAGTCAGTCATAGGTAATATCCCCAGTATAGCCATTTAAAATACTTTCCCACCAACTGTGGTAGGGGCAAGTGAGATTTCTGCCCATTTTAATATTACCTTTGGGGTAAGAAAAAGAAACTCAGTCACTTTAAAAATGTTCTTAAAAATAACTTCTCTGCCCCTGGTGCTATATGGGTCCTACCAGACTAAGTTAAGCAAATGCAATTCCAGCTGCCTGGAACATTGCAATCTCACCGGCCAGTTACTTTACTGTGTAATTTCTATATTACAGAGATTTACTTAGTTCATCCTGGAGTACTGCTGGGTCCTAAGGAGGGTCGTCGCCCTGTTAGCTTATTTCTGGAGACCTCTTTAGCTGTCTAAATCCACCTTTTGAAAAATTAAAAGTTAGTGGATCTGTGGTTGGGGGGAGGAGTACTTATATTAAGGCAGCAGAGGGTAGAGGGAGGGGGAAGGATGGAGAAGTCAAGTTGTGAGGGTACCAAGATCTCTCTTAAAAATGGCCAATGCAGATAAATCAGTCCTCTGGCTGACAACAGTTTCAGCAAAAATCAGAAGGCGAGGCCAGTCTGGCAAAACTGTGAGAATCACAATAAGAAAAATGAAAAGGACAGCTGAACGCCAAAGCTGGTTTCTTTGATATCTGTATGATCCCATCGTCCTCCTCATCATCCCCCTTCTCAATTGACCTCAAGGTTCTCCCCAGACAAATTTTTATGGAAGAGTCCACTACGAGGTGAACCGTTGTATTGAATCATTGAGGGACACGGAGGAAGATAAGGACCTCAGAGACCTCCCAACTTCTCTCTTCTTCCCGATTAAACACTTGCAATGAAGATACTTCAGCGGAATCCTGCATGCTGAACACCCATTTGCAGGTGGCGCCGCAGTGTTCTCAGGGCGGAGATTTCTCCCCCCACCCCCCCCAACCCCCCGCCCCCGCCCAATTCATAGACGCTCAAAGGCTGGACAGTTTTAGTGTGAAAGGGAGCTTTCAGGACTCACCATTTTTGCAGTAATTCCCGGGGCAGCACATAGCGTGACGCATGCAGCGTTTTCGGCGCTTCCTGCAGGCGAGACAGATTTGCACGCCTGCGTCCCCTCCGCGGGTGGGACTAGCGCAGTACTCATCAGTGCCGCACTCCTCGTCCTCTGCGCACGGGTACGGCTGTGGGAAGGGTTCGGGGAGAGGGTGAGGCACCCAGACGTCCAGGTACCCGCCCTCTTGGACCCGGGCGCTGATCACAGTCCTTATCTGTCCACCTCTCCAAAACCTGTTACTGCCCACTGCTCCCAAATGCAGGGTTACCAAATGCTCCCTGAACCGCACACATTCAGCACGTTCTACTCCCTCGTCTCCAGATAGGACCCTTTCAAGGTCAGAGCATCCTCTGAGTGCCCGACCCCTCTCACCTGGTAGTTGTCAATGGTCTGGTACTTATTCCCGCCCGGGTACAGGATTCCCGGCGCGGCGCTGACTGCAGAGCCTGGGTGCCCCGCAGCGCCGCCCAGCGGTGGGGGCAGGTTCTTGATAGCGTTGGAATTGAGAACCGAGTTCAAGGTGGCGCTCACTCCCAGCAGAGGGTGGCCGCCGAGAGCCGCCGCTACCATCGCGACAAAGACCCGGGTAGCTCCCGCTGCGCCCAGAGCCATCATCTCAGAAGGACTCAAGAGGGAGAAAGAAAGAGAAAATGACCGTCACTTTGCAAGCCTGGGTCCCCACGAAACCGTGCCGGTTCGGCTGCAGAGTCAGGGTCCGGGAGCCCCCTGCGGTCCCAGAGTCCTGACTGCAGGGAGCACAGAGCTCTGCGCCGCCACCGCCACCGCGGCTGCCTTTATACCGCGGGCCCGGAGCATTCCGGCCCCTTGGGAGGGAGACAACAAAGCCGGGATGGGATTTCAAAGCGCTGGGAGGGGCTGGGAGGGGGTGTGTTTGTGTACATGAAGGGGGGCCTTTGACACTCTTCACCCCGCCCCTCCCTTGCTTAGTCGCTCGGCTGGCCCGGCTCACCTTCGGGGTGAAGGCTACCAGCGAGCGTTATAGCAGACGACTTTAATAAATGCAGGCGGCAGCAGGAACTCTGGGAACTTGGGTGCCCTTGCCTGGCAGTAAGGGTTGAATTATCCGGATCTGAAATACTTTACAGAGCCGAGGGGTGATAGGCTCTGCAAAAGCACTTTTTGCCCCTCTCCTTTATGCCAATACTCGCTGACTGTGCACACAAGTCATATTCAGTATTAAATACAAACCGGTCTGTAATTCAATGGCTCTAGCAAGACGCCTCTGAGAGGGCCAGGTGGCGGGTGCAAGTTGCTCATTAACCCTTTAGAGTCGCAGTTTGCAGATCTGAGTTAGATCCCCGGCTTTGAGGTCCTTCAGTTGCCCTCCTCCCCCACCTCCCCCCGCCACTGCGAGAAAAATGTGCAAAGAGAAGGAAATTTGCACATCAAACGAGGGTAAGAAGGAAGAAGAGCTAATTCTCTTTTGATGGGAAGTTTAGAGAGGGAGGCGAGAGACTGGCGTTTAGAAATTAGATCAGGGGTGGAGGGAAGAGGGAAATGACCATCCGATAATCAAACCATTTAATGTTGTTCTTTGAATCAGGGCAATCGCGGCGGTAGATGAACTTGATTAGGCAGACGCGTGAGATCAAAGTGGCCGGGACCAAAGCGGACAGGGTCCAACGTGCCAGGTCAGTCGCCTTTCCCCGGTTCTCCCTTCTCAGTGGTGGGCTAATGTGGAGAAATAAGAAACCCTTAGGGCTTAGCGCCTGACTTCCTCATTAGTATATCACATCGCAACGCTTCCGAATGCAGGGTTTGCTCCCAAGTCTTACCTTGCACGGGACCACGCAATACCCTTTCTAGGGAGAAAAGAAACAACCTTGAGGAGAAGAAGAGCTGAAAGTGAATTAGAAAGTGAATTTGACGTCATTGAAATTGGTGTGTGGATATAATAAAGTAAGGCTGGTGTATAAGAATGATGTCATGCTTATAAATGGGAAATGATCTATTTAATTCAACAAAAACTTATTGGAAGCCTAGAGCCCTGGCATTGGGCTGCCCTCTGGGTTGTTACCTTATTTTTATTTTTTAAATTTTTTGGTGAGATGGGTGGTGGGGGGAGGGGCACAGTGAATACAAATATTTATGAGACACAGCTCTCATTTTAAATAATAAAGTTCTCTTTATTCTAATTACAGTAATAATAAAAGATGTAGTAACAATAAAATTATAGCAATAAATATAAAAGCATACATAATTCTTTTAAAAACAGGTTGATATTATAAGTGTCAGAAAATAAGCAACTGTTTTGTGAGTTTGGAAAAGGGAGAGATGATTGAATAATCACTATTGAATTAAAAAAGAGTAAGATATATTTATTTTGTCTTCCTCTAAGCTGTATAGATTTAGGCTGTCTATAATGACTCCACATGCTGACCTACTATAGTCAGAACTGGGGCCACCACCAAGTAAAGCCAGTGACAATCTTAAAGTAAAAAAATCCTAAAGTTTACTGGGAGAAGGAGTAATTAAAACACAATTTACTATGGTCTGTGTTCTAGTTCCTTCAGTTTCAAAGGTAATATTAAGAAGATCATCTAAACAATTCTTGAATGGTACCCTAGTTATATTAGTGTCCTTCCCATCCCAAATTCCATCTGTCCAGGAAATTATCCTGTCAGGAATCAATGCGTTAAGCACCTTCAGTGTACTAGGAAATCTGCAAGCTGTGTTAAGTTTGAATGACTTTGAAACGTAGAGAAAAATCCGCCTGCCAATCAGAAGGTTGAAAATGTTTCTTTTTAGTCCTATTAACCTGTTTAAATATTTTGAATCTAGAAATATATTTGTGCCACACTAAAGGCCAATCTCTTGCCTTTTTTTCTGAAGAGATAGTATATGATTAATACATTTAATGAACTTGGTTCATTAAAAGCTTGGCTTCACAAAAAAAATCCATTGCCTGGGGCAAAAGAAGAGAAAGTGGAACAATTTAATCAACAAAAGGAAAATTCTGTTATAACAAAGAAGCTTGTTGCATAAATTCAACCTTGATCTCTGAACACATATCATTTGTCTATTATGTTTCAATATTCACTGAGTCTGGACAGAATCTGTGGTATTGAGCTAGGAGAGCTAAACCAAGCATAGAGTTTCAAGAATGGGCTAGCTTCTACCTCCTTCCTCAGCTTTCACATTGCTCCTGAAGTTGTCATGAGTTTAAAACTAATAATGAGTTGGTCAATATCTGAGTTCCTACTTTGTGCTAAGCATTATACATGATATTGTGTGATAAAAGATGAGTTCACATATAATCTACCTTCAAATCATTTAGTGGGCAGAGGAGAGGTAACCTCACAAATTATTCAGGGGAGAAATTACATGGGTGGTCCTCAGAGAGGGCTAAGTACATAGCAAATCAAACCTTTGTTCCAAATGAGGAAATTTATTTTTTCAGTACTTTTTCTCCATTTGAAAATCCTTTCCAGGATGTGGTTTGTTCATTGGCAACAAGAGTGCAAGGTAGATAAAGAGGTATAGTAAAACTCATTGTTCCATCAGCAGCCAGTTAATATTCGGTGAGTATCCATTATTGGGAGCATATCTCACAATATGAAAGGCAGGCTTCTTGTCCTCAGCTTTCAGTCTGTGACTAGTTGGGGAAATACAACATACTTACATGGGGCTGGGGGTAAAAATTTTTCCAACATCGATTATATTTTGGCAGATACTAGGTCATGGAGAGCAAGAAAAATGTGCAGGAACTGTGACCAACATGTCTTAGGAAGGAGAGAGGGTTCTGGTGATTGTCTGAGTCTCTCTTACAGCTGGGTGACAGAGGAGGTGGGAGCCAGAGTAGATGAATTTAGTTTATTAAACTGAGTTTATTTAGTCCTGTAGGGAACCCTGCCTCCTATTCAGTCTGGTATAAATATGATCATAATTAATGTAACAAATTTAATATTTTGTATTATATTTTTGAATAGGTGAAATATGCTTATCAGCGTGGAATTGAACCTCATAACTCGGGAACAGCATGCTAACACATGTCTTCTTTATATTTTAAGTGCTGGATGCCATGCATAGAATATTTCTCAACCTTTTCATCCATGAGGGAGACAGACAAATATACTCCAAAACACTCCATGCTATTCACCAACTATTTTTCCATCTCTATTATTTGTGACTGCTGATTTTTTTTATTTTATATATTTTTATATATTTTTTGAGACAGGATCTCATTCTGTCGCTCAGGCTGGAGCACAGTGGTGCAATCGTGGTTAACTGCAGCCTTGACCTCCCAGGCTCAAGCGGTTCTTCCACCTCACCCCCAAGTAGCTGGGACTACAGCTGCATGCCACCACACCTGGCTAATTTTTAATTTTTTTGTAGAAACAGGGTCTCACTATGTTGCTAGCCAGAGCTGGTCTTAAACTCTTAGGCTCAAGTGATCCTCCCACCTTGGCCTCCCAAAGTGCTGGGATTACAGGAGTGAGACACCGCGCCCAGTCTACTGCTGTATTTTAAATTCCCTTCTTTCCTCTTTTCTTTTTTCTCTCCCTCCTTCCCTTCTTTCCTTCTTTCTCTTCATTAAATCAAAAGAAGCAGATTTGTTGCCATATAATTTTACTTTGCTAGGAAAATACCGCATACATATCATTCCTTACGGTGGGTGTTGCCAACATTTTTGTTAGTGTCAATCTTGAGTATAGCAGGGATTCCTCATTCCTGATGTTTTGTAAAAAATGATATGACTTTCTCATTGACTTTTAAAACAGTTTGGTCTTAATGTTCTTCATGATGTTAAAAGAACTTTTAGACCTGGTCCATGTTATGACTCCCCTGAGAGCTGGATTTTCTGCACTCCCCAGTACAAACAGAGGGCAAGATTTGACCGTGATTACATTTATTTGGGCGGTGGAGATGGCCAGCCCAGATAAATCAGGCTCCGTGGTAGCTTTCTAACCAAGCTCAGAAGATGTGTTTTACTGGAGTAAGACATTAAAAGCTAATCTGAGAGTAGAGGCTGGGTTCCAGCCTCTAAACCCAGTGAAGATAGTGCCTAACCAGATAGATATCTGCCTGCATCCTTTCTGAGGTCCTGACACTCAGAAAGGTCTGTGGTGGTGGGTATAGGGAGTGCAATGTCCTCTTTGAGTCCCCAAAGGATTTAACATCTCCAACCCTAAGGATAGGCCAGTGTCTGCAGAAAGCAAGATGTAGGATCCCATGACACAGTCTCCGCATCTACAGAAAAACAATTTTCTTCCATGTCACTGGGTTCCTATTATTACCTCCTTTATAAGACAGATCTTCTCCCAGGGTATGGCCAAGAAAGGCATCGTGCCAAGGAGTTAAGAGGCTAGGGATGGTACTCTGTATAGGGTGTCAGCCATAATCTGGCTCCTAAATATGGGAAAGCCATTTAACTCTTGGTGTGGTACTGGCTTTTCTTTATAAAATGGGATGCAGGGGAGATGGAGAGGTTCCTTTTCACTACAAAAGTCTCCCTTTCTTTCTCTCTCTCTTTCTTTTCTTTTTCTTTCAGCACTGCCAAGAGAAGGCCTTTTGTACTCAGGTTAAATAAGAACATCCTGCAAGGAGTCTGTTCTTTTATGCAGCCTAAAGATCAAGTAATAATCATTGACACTGATACTGAGCATGTCGATTTTGAAGAGACTAGCATGTAAGTATTAAGTGCCTGGAAATAAGGTGAATTACTTGGACCAGGCGACTTTTTAAAAAGTGTGTGTGTGTGTGTGTGTATGTGTGTGTGTGTGGAGGTTGTTTTCCCATCACAAAATTGGTTGTAATATTTAAAGCTGATGTTTTCAGCTATCACCAGTTCTCCAACTGGTGAATTGTAAAGGACCTTAAGGTGAAAAGTAGAAAGTAGGACCTTAAAAACACTTTAGTCTTGACACCCAGTCTTAGAAATGCTGAAGAGTGGAAGATGTAGGCTATTAAATAGAACTATTAACTTTTGGCGGGGAAGAGCAGGAGGGATGTATAATTAACTCGTGTAAGGATTCTTCATCACCCTTAAGTTACAAAAGTAAAATAATTTTCAGAGGAGTCTAGGAGTCCGTGGCAGGAGTCACGTCAGGGAACTACCTGGCTGGCCAACCTAGGGGCTCCCAAGCCTGAGTCCTTCCGCAACGGCCCTGCCTCCAGTGCGGGCGCGTTTCCCAGCGCGCAGGCCCCGCGCCCTGCACGGCGCAGCACGGCGAATCCCCCATTATTGTTCACGCGCTCCCAGTGCCGGGTGCTCACGGTGGCTGCACTTGGGTGTCACAACCCGTCGCTAGCATACAGTAGTGTAAAATGAAGCTTGTTTAAAGACTCTCTTTGATGAGCGAAGATCAAACGGCCTGGGGACCCCCGGTCTTAATCAGACTTGAGCCAGGATGGCATTTTCACAAATAGTCCGTTTGCTCGGCTTTGAGCAGACTTTGTGCTCAGCACATTCATCCGGCTGCGGGGCGGGTAATCCCGGCTGAAGCCCCTTGCCTGGTCGCAAATCCATTCACACTACAATGGCTGCTGTTGGTTTGCTGTGTCAGTTCATGGGCAAATAAATACAGGGCCTTTCTGACTTAATTAGAGGCGGGTGAGGGGAAAGGCGACTGAGGGGAAGATTAAAGCTCTGAGGGACATCAGGCTCCGCGGTGTCTCCGGCGTCCGGGGGGAGGTGGGAGAAACCCGCTCTTCTGCTGCCTCCTGGTGGAATTTCCGTAGAAGTTCTTAGTAGGGAAAAGTATGTATTAATCCTGTAGTTATATTTATTTTCTAGGTCCAATTACTTGTGTATTTTCATAACTCCCTATGCTGCAAACTCTCTAAAGCCAAATATATTTTGTCCTTCTTAATATTCCACATAATGTTTTGTTGAAAAATTAAATCTACACATGGTAGAATTAAAATAATAAGGTCTGGTACTGTCACCACCATATACTTAAAAAATAAAAGGGAGCTGGGGTGCGAAACTTAGGTTCTTATTAAATGTTTTAGTTTGGTTGAAGTTCAAAGGCTCTATATTGCATTGCTGGATAAAAATGTCTGGGTCTCCAGATTAGTATGTTAATATATAATGTTATAGGGAAATGCTAGGCTAAACAAATATTAAGAAAGCTCAAACAATGTAACTATTCAGGGAGAATGAAAATATAACAGAATATGCTTTTTTAATTAATTTGGATAATAAAAATATTAATCTCAGATTTACATTTTCAAAAGGAAGATAAAAACATTCAATAGTTTATGCAAAACAATAGTTATAATGTACTATTTAACAGTTTCACTTCATTTGAGTCAACATGATGCACAAGGAGAAAAGGAACAGCAGGAAAATTAATAAAACAACATATTGGAAGTGCAGGTCCTAGCATAGTATATGCAACTGTTAACATATATGTTAATGGCAGTTGTGCATTTTATTGATAGCCAATATTTTAAACTAGACCCAATTTTGTTCTTCTGTCTGATGTTTTTTGAAGAGTTCTGGCAGAAAAAAAAAAGTTCTATTTTTTTTAAAGATTTCTTTTAAAGAAGAAAAGATCATGGAAGATGTGTAAGAAATGCCATCTCTAAACATTCAGTTCAATATGAATTGTGTACTCATTTTGTAGCTATCAGTTAGATGCTAAGTAAAAAATTGTATACTATTATTTTAGGATGATATTCTAAAATATATTTATAATAATGACTTTAAAAAGCACATCGACCTCTATCAAAACCTCTCAAAATGTCATTAGTATATTCATTATACTTGTCTACATTTCCTGATTGTGCTATTTTCTCCATCAGTATCTCCATCTTCTCATAATATTACTGCAATCCAGCTGATTCTGTTTACCACGAGAATCATATTCTTTAAAGTAAGCTCTAAGTTTGAAAAAGAAATGAAAAACATTTTGCAGATACCAACAGCTTTGTGAATTCAGCAGAGCCACAAGCTTACTTAGAAGCTATGGAAGCACTGAGGCAGAGTAGAGTGGTGAATTAGCTTTCTATTAGGGGCATATTCTTCTACGCCTTCCTGCTAATACCATTTACTAGTATCATTTACACTAAGAATTTTAGAAGGGAACTGTGGCTAGAGCTGTGAAGTCTAAAGGTTTAAAATGCATGTTTTCTTTGTATTTAGAGTTCCTGATTTGCAGGCAAAGTCCTAAACTTGTTTGAAAAATTACTTTGCTAGGGTTTAATTCACAGCTGAGATTAGAAAAATAAGTAAGTAAATAAGTGGAACTTTTTTTTTTTGGAACTTTCTTACAAGTATGTAAAGAATAGGAGAGAAACAGATTTTTTTTCCTGTTTTTATAGGCACTGAAAGGCAAATATTAGTCAATTAAAGGTGCTTTTCTTTTCCTTAAAAAAGATCTATCGAGGCCAGGCATGGTGGCTCATGCCGATAATCACACTTTGGGAGGCTGAATCAGGAGGATTGCATGGGCGGGCCCAGGAGTTCACAACCAGCCTAGGCAACACAGTGAGACCCCATCTCTACTAAAAATAAAAAATTAGCCGGATGTGATGGCACATACCTGTAATCTGTAGTCTCAGCTACTTGCAAGGCTGAGGTGGGAGGATTGCTTGAGCCCAGGAGGTGAAGGCTGCAGTGAGCCTTGTTTGCACCACTGCATTCCAGCCTGAGTGAGAGAGTGAGATCCAATCTCTTAAAAAAAAAAAAAAAATCTAGGCCGGGTGTGGTGGCTCACGCCTGTAATCCCAGCACTTTGGGAGGCTGAGGTGGGTGGATCACCTGAGGTCAGGAGTTCAAGACCAGCCTGGCCAACATGGTGAAACCCCGTCTCTACTAAAAATACAAAAAAATTAGCTGGGCATGGTGGCTCATGCCTGTAATCCTAGCTACTCAGAAGGCTGAGGCAGGAGAATTGTTTGAACCTGGGAGGCAGAGGTTGCAGTGAGCCAAGACCACACCATTGCACTCCAGCCTGGGCAACAAGAACCAAATTCCAATCTCAAAAAAAAAAAAAAAATCTATTAAGAACTCTGCGGGTCCAAGAGCTCTGATGTGCAAGGGTAGGAGAAGATGGAGTCCCTGATCAAGAAGAGAGAGATTTTTCCCTTCCTTCTTCTTTTTTGTTCAGGCCCCCAGTGGACTGGATGATGCCTGCTCATATTGGAGAGGACAAGCCTTCTTTACTCAATCTAATAATTCAAGTGCAAATCTTTTCTGGAAACACCCTTAGAGACACAACCAAGAATACTGTTTTACCAGTGATGTGGGTATCCCTGAACCCAATCAAGTTAACATATAAAATTAATCATCAAAGACAATTTCAAGTGAAAACTGTGACTCCACTGACCATGGAAATGAGAAGATGTGCTCACAATTATACAGTGCTTTCACCATATAGGTACAATTTTTTTTTTTTTTTTTTTTTACCAGAGTCTTGCTCTGTTGCCCAGGCTGCTGTGTAGTGGTGCAACCATAGCTTACTTCAACCTCAAACTCTTGGACTCAAGTGATCCACCTGCCCCAGCCTCACAAAGAACTGGGATTATAAGCATAGCTAGAACTACAGATGCACGCCACCAGGCCCAGATAATTAAAAATGATTTTTTAAATAGAGACAGCATCTCACTATGTTGCCTAAGCTGGCCTTGAACTCCTAGCCTCAAGAGATCCTCCAGTCTCAGCCTCCCAAAACACTGGGATTACAGGTATGAGACACTGCACTGAGCCCCATACAGATACAATTGATATAAATAATTTCAAGAGGATATGCAATAGTACAATGAAGTAATATATTTAGGTAGTAATAAGTTTTGAGTATATATTTTGAGTATATATTTTATATAATTTTTGTAACATTTATATACTATTATTTTAATGTACTTTAGTTGTAAGTTTATGCCATTTAATTTTTAAAAATTGTAGTCCTTGAATATTGACTTTTATATATATATCCCTTGTCCCAGGTGGCTATTAAACCAAAGCTCTACTTCAACAGACTCGAGAAATGTTCTCAGAGCAAATAAAGTTTCAGTGGCCCACTTTCATGGTTCCCGTGTTCCCTTAGATTTTGACTTGGCTTTTTCTTAGTATGTTGCCAACTTTTTGAGATTTTTAAGAGAGAGAGAGGGATGTAACATACACACCCACAGATACATATACATATACATATACATATACATATACATATACATATGTAGTAGCGTTTTAAATTTTCAGTAAGAGAGTTGATTCAAATAACTGAATCTGCCATTTCCCCCAAAATAAAAGTTTCTCACCTAAAAAATTATATAAATGTTGTCACACTGTATTATGCAATTTTTTCATTTAGCGCTGTTTCTGAAATTTAGCCATGTTAAATTTAACTAATGCATTTATATTCACTTTCATATAATATTCTATTGTTTGAATACACCAGATTTAATGGTCTATTATCCAGGTGATGGGCAGTTTGACTTCTAAATTTTTTACTATTTCAAAATTCTTCTGAAGATATGCTGAGATATATATATATATATATATATATATATATATATATATATATCTCCTAGTGAATGTGTATGAACTTTTTTTCTAGGAAATATACCAATGAAGAGAAGTGTTCAGTTATAGGATACAGACATTTTCAACTTTGTTAAATATTGGAAAATTATTCTTCCAATTTGTAAAAATTCCCATTTGTACCAGCAGATATGAAAATTTTACATTGCTCTACATTCTAACCAACATGTTGCTACTTTTAAACTTTAATTTGCAAATCTCATGAATAAAAATGGTTTATTTTAATTTTTAAATTTACAGTTCCTGGTAATGAAGTGGAGTATATATCCATATATTTCTGTTTTCTGGATGAGAAGACTAACCTAACTAAGTAGGTTAGTATAACCTTTATACACAAACAGATGAGGATAATTCAAGAAAGGGGACTTTTAGGCTACTCTCTTGAGATCATAGACAGAAAAGTCTAAAATATAATATTGGAGGCCAAGGTGGGAGGATCATTCAAAGCCAGGAGCTTGAGACCAGACTGTGAAATATAGCAAGACCCAATTTCTATAAAAAATAAACAACCTAGCTGTGTGTGATATGTGTCTATAGTCCCAGCTACTCAAAAGGCTGAGGCGACCTCGAGGATCACTTGAGCCCAGGAGTTTGAGGCTGCAGTAAGCTAGGATTGCACCACTGCACTCCAGCCTGTGTGACAGAGAGACCCTGTCTCTAAAATACATAAATAAATAAAATATAACATTGGTAAATCAAAAACACCAATATATTCAAAATGCATGTAATGACAAAGTTGAATTCATGCCAAGGAAGCATGGGTGGCTTAACATTAGATGTGTTATACATCTTCCACCAAGTCGACCACAATAAAAGGATTAAGAAAGTAACATGCCCATCTTAATGTATGCTGAAACAGAATTTTGATTTTTTAAAAAGATTGACCAACTAAGAACTCTCTTAATATGATCGTGTGTATGTGTATAAAACCTGTATCAAACATCTAATGATGAAATTTAAAATCAGAAAAGAGACAAGGATGCCAACTGTAATTTTATTATTATACATTTACGTGGAGTCCTAGCCAGCCCATTACTTCAAGAAAAAGATTACTGATTGGAACTATAAAGAGTTAAATACAACATTTCGTTATTCAGAGATGACAATATTATCTTTATAAATAACCAAAAAATAGACATAGACATTAATCAGTAAAATTTCAGCAAGGATGGTGGACATAAGAGCACTATGCAAGAAATTGGCAGGGCACAGTGGCTCACGCCTGCAATTCCAGCACTTTAGGAGGCTGAGGTGGATGGATCACTTGAGCTCAGGAGTTTAAGACCAGCCTGGCCAACATGGTGAAACCCTGTCTCTACTAAAAATACAAAAATTTGCCAGGCATGGTGGTGCACACCTGTAAGTCCCAGCTACTTGGGAGGCTGAGGCAGGAGGATTGCTTGAACCCAGGAGACGGAGGTTGCAGTGAGGCGAGATAGCACTGCTGCACTCCAGCCTGGGCAACAGAGTGAGACTGTTCAAAAAAAACGAAGAAATCAATTGAATTTCTCTGTGCCACTATTTTATAATATTCGAGAGTATAATATGTTAAAATGTTATTTTAATAGCAACCAAATATGTAAATGAATTGTATTAAAAATGCTTTTGAAGACATTCTATAAACTGTAAATAATGCTCACGAGTGGAAAAAGTTAAAATCATAAGGTTGTCATTTCTCCCATTAATCTATGAACTAAAAATAATTCTAATCAAAATCCTAAAAGGTGTTTTCATGAAACATGACCATATGGTTTTAATATTTATGTAGAATAAAAGGACTCTAGTGTGCCAAAACAATTTTAAAGACAAAAAGCTAGGGGGATGGAGGGACGGAGGGCAGTGGGGGTACCCCATAAGATATAAATAATATTTATACACCATGTTAACTGAGCCAGTTTGATAGTACTGCATAGAGTGGCAAATATACCAATGGAATATTAAATACACATTAAATTATATTTCTATATATACATGTGTACATATGTGTATATATGCATGTGTACATATGTGTATATATGCATGTGTACATATGTGTATATAGGCATGTGTACATATGTGCATATAGGCATGTGTACATATGTGCATATAGGCATGTGTACATATGTGCATATACACATGTGTACATGTGTGTATATGTGCATGTGTACATGTGTGTATATACATGTGTATACATATGTGTGTATATACATGTGTATACATATGTGTGTATATACATGTGTATACATATGTGTGTATATACATGTGTATACATATGTGTGTATATACATGTGTATACATATGTGTGTGTATACATGTGTATACATATGTGTGTATATACATGTGTATACATGTATGTGTATATATACATGTGTATACATATATGTGTATATATACATGTGTATACATATATATGTGTATATACATATATACGATATGCACACATATATATACATAAATACATATGGGTGGTTTAACATTAGAATATGTTAAACTGATATGTAAAACAAATAATATTGTAACCTTTCTGGCTGAATCAGAATTAGAAATCTGGAGCCTGTGGAGCTTACTCCCTGCATGTCCCCTTTTGTTAATCCAGGTACTCCTCTCCCTATTCCATCCCGGTAGACTCTGAGACATTACTTCAATGTTCTGAAGCTCTATGGAGAACTGAACTTGAAAATCATCAGCTCATTGCAAGCCTTTCCTTTGTGATCAGAGATTGGCAACCTTTTCTGGAAAGGCCCAGATAGTAAATATTTTAGGCTTTACCTGCCATGCAGCCTCTAGCTTACTACTCAAGTGTTGTTGTAACATGAAAGCAGCTTCAGACAATATGTTTGTTCCAATAAAACTTTATTTACAAAAACAGGCTGTGAGACAAATTTAGATGGTGCATCACAGTTTGCCAGCCCTGGCAGGGAGGTTGTAAGTGAAGGAACTTAAAAGCAGAGAGTTTTATTACCAAAAATAACTCTAATAATCTTCTTATGGGTCAGGAAACCAAGGCCCTAAGTAATTCACTTCCATTTACATAGTAATTTGTGGCACATGTAATTAGCAAAGGGTTACACAGAAGACATTTAGAATTATGGTTAAGATGGTATGTTGTTCCTATTCCAACTTGCTTTTATTGTAAAATCTCTCCACTCTCACTTCTTTCCAGGAACCTTGAAGAATCATGTTCTTCCTAGGAATTACAAATCCCCCGATTCCATGTCTAACATAATTTCTACTGGCCTCTTTGCTTCTCATGCTTTAGTACCAGTGCTTCTGAATTTGAAAGTCTTCATGCAAATTGCCCAGGTAAATCATTGCACCAACCTTAGATGGTCTGGACTCTTAAAATGTTTCCTTCCATTACTCTCTTAAAATGTATCTTTGCTATGTCAAGTTTGAGGTAGTTTCTGCCAGAAGATTGGGCATTTGGGTGAATTCAAGTCTTCACTGCAGTTTTTACTGCCTGTGACTCAGGGTCTAAAGATTTATTCTGTTATTTTCTGCCTGTTATTTTCTACAGTGATAAATCACCTTGCAGAGGCTAGGGCAGGCCTCACCTTTCTTTTGAATGTGACAGTTGTATCAGTCGGAATGGGCGAAATCCTGTTGAAATAGACAAAGCCAAAATCTTAGTGGTTCAAAACAACAATATATTCCACTGTAAAGCCTTTGGGAGTTGGTGAGGGGCTCCACTCCTTCTCATCACTGTCCTTACTCTGCTTCTGAAGCTGACAGGGCAGCCACTGTTGAGGAAATGCTGATCACAACATCACAGGTAAAGGAGAATGTAATGAAGCAAGAACTGGCTCTTAAAGCTTCTGTTTGCAGCAGTGACAAGGCTCACCTTTCAACCGCCAAAGCAAGTCAAAAAGCCAAACCTGACTTACATGGCACAGAAAAGTGCCCCAGGGAGGGAAATCAGACATTGATGAACTGTGGCCAAAATCCAGCTGAGCCAGCGCTCAGGTCACCAGTATCATTTCTCCCCAGAGGACTAAGAGTCCTCCTGCAAATTAACTCCTAGTATCCTGCACTGATGTACCAGATACCAGAGGTGGGTATACATATACATTTTTGGCTTTGCAAATCAAGACATGGGTCTATTCCTTAACAAAAAGTAGCTTATTATTCATAGCCCATTTTAATATGTTAATTGAAAGAACACTTCTATGGGTGGAATATAAATGCCATTTAACATTTCTGAGAGCATTTATAGGCTTTGGATGTCCATGATTCTTTACAGAGTTATTTTTTTCTGTTTACCTCATTTACCCCACCATTCCTGAAATGTTTCTCCATGGATCCTTTTCTCCTGCTTCTACCTCATAGAGATGTATCAAAATACACTAATGGGCTGGTTAAAAATTCAGATTCCTGGGTTATACCTCAAAATAACTTTGGATTATCCTAGAAACCTATGTTTTTATATTATTTCCCAGATACATCTTATGACAGTAATGTTTGAAAAACACTGGCTTAGATCCTATGTCTAGAGCTTGTCCATGAATTTTTATAAAATCTGTGGCCAGACTTTTGGGTTGTTAGAGATACCTTGTTTTCCTTTTTTTTTTTCTTTCTATAATTTTTTTTTGCACAAGTTTGAGGCTTAACCTGTTTGGCTTTGCTAATGGGCATGTAGGTAGATAGATAGATTTGTCTTTTGTTCCATAGACTCACCTTGGATAAAAAACAGCTGCCAGAGATAAATATTACTGTTTTATCAATTTATAGGACTTTTTGAGTTAGAAAGGAGAAGTCTGGGGACACAGAAGAAAGCTCTCAATATGACTCTCAATAAAAAAAAAAAAAGTTAGTGTGAAATTAACTGGGCATGGTGATGTGCACCTGTAGTCATAGATACTTGGTAGGTCAAGGCAGGAGGGTCCCTTGAGCCCACAAAGTCAAGGCTGCAGTTAGCTGAGATTGTGCCATTGCATTCCAGCCTGGGTGACAGAGTGAGGCCCTGTCTCAAACACAACCCACCCACACAAAAGAAACATTAATGTGGTGGCCTGTATTATGAGCATGACACACAGGGCTATAACTAAGAATCTAAAGGTAGGTCTGCAGGCGTAACATTGTAATATTTACACTTGGGTATCATTTGGATGATCACACAATCAATCCATTTCTTTCAAATTTAGAATTGATTCCTATTGTCATTCTTGAAAAATTGCACACTGATTTATTCCCACTGAAATTAGTATGCACAAGATGTGAGTGATGTAGATGCAACATCATCACCATCACTGACGTCTCCTCCTCCCTATCCTTCTAATGATTGTGTTGATCTGCGTGCTCCTCCCAAAACTGTGCAATTAGTACAAAAACAAAACCCTTTCATGATCAAGAAGAACACTCTTAGATTAAGGGTATGAAAAATCATATAACTTAAAGGATGGATGTTAAAAGCTTATATTACAGTTCTATTTGCAGAAGAAATGAAATTACTGGATGTGCAATCGTGACATAGTATTTTTTCAAGTGGTTTTATTGACTTTATCTGAAAAAGTTAACTGAATTTCTAGTTTTCATCAAACAAGGGTTTTCAACTCACTGTCACTGGCAATGTGAGGTCAAAAAGACAAAAACAATGTAATTGAGAGAATCTTCATGCTGCAGCCAGTTTTCATGTGTGCATCATTTACTGCAGAGAAGGACAAAGGGATGTAGAAAGAATATGTTTAACTAGGCTTTGGAGAGTTGAATTTGTTGTAATCATATTGTTCCCCAAATGTTTCTTCTTTGTGCATATGATGAAGCCAAGGAATCAGGTGAAAAATCCTTGGACAAAGACTCATGAAGTTGCTTTTCATATGAAATCATTTCCTCCTAGGATGTAGTAATATACAAGAATTGTCCCTTTGATTGTTTTGCCTAGTACAGAGTTTGACTAGGGATAGCCCAAAAAAGGACTGTGTGGTGGTCATGCTCAGAAATCTGCTAATTTCTGAGTTTGTGTGAATATCTATATTCACTTTGCTTTTCACACTGGATGGCCCAACATTATTCCTATGAATTCTTTAAAACCAATTTGTTGGATTAGTTTTATATTAGATTATAATATAGTATATTATTTCATGAGGGATGCTTGGATTATAGGTATTTCCTACTTTGTTATAGTGACATTCTACAACAGCACTACCTGGTATTTCATCTAGTATGATATACCAATTCTATTCTTGGAATCTTGTCTGGAATTAAACATCAACTAAGTTCAAAAGTAATTATTTTTTTATTTCAACTCTATAAAGTATACAACAGGCACTCAGCAATTACAGCTGCAGGAAAAATACAGAGCAAATCAAAGCAGGTAAATTTATGAAAAAGTTTTTAATCTACATCAAAAGAGTGCAAGTGGTCAATGACCATTTGATGACAGTTTGTTGCATTCTGACTAACAAAGAACTCTTTCATGTAGAACAAATTGTAAGAGGACAATCAAATAACCATAGCTGTAAGAATACAAAAGAACTGACCAGTTGTAAAAACATCATACATTGAAATAAATTTGATAGATGATGCTTAAAGAAATGTCCCTTTACTCAGAAAGCCCCAACCTCTGAGTCATTGCCAAGGTCCCAGAGCTCTGTCTGTTGATTCAGGGGCAGAGAGGAGGGCTAACAACACACTTTCAATGTTTTGCTTTCTAGGTCTGTTGAAAACTTGCCTCGTAAATGATTTGCATATACAAGAACTCGGAAAAAGCATCCTGTTTTGTTGAGAGGTGCACCAAGTGACTTTTTCATCATTGGTTTCATAACGAGGTCTGGTTAGCAGTCATTTCCAATTTTTCTTTTCGGTTGGACCATTGTCAATGGAGTCTATAAAATGAGATATGTTAGAACTTGACTGCACTAATTTATTTTTACAGAATCTGCACAGCTTAGCAAAACAGGAATACCTGTATACAGACTGATAGAATGTCATATATTAATTTGACCTGCACATACATTTATACATTTCACAGAAATGACGCTGTATCTCATTAACAGATACACAGCTCTGGTACATTTAACAGAAATAAGAGAACAACTTCATCATTTCTGTAATTCATCAATATTATATAATAAAGGCTTATAAATTGTTAGCAGAAAGAACTGTAAAACGCAGCAAGCTAAGAAAGGACAACATTTTGAGGTGTGTTTGTCTTTGTCATGCAGCATAACACCAAATTTGTTTTTTTAATAGGATGCCATGAATTTAAGGCACTTGCAACAATGCCAGATAGCCAGGTCATGTTCTAAACTATGGGACAGATGAATAACAGTACAGTTGACATAATTTTCAATAATACTGACAATTATGACATTAATTCAAGTCTACTTGGACCTAAAAACATTATTCAATACAAATAAAATGAAATAATAATGCTGTGAAACACTAAAAAAAGTTATATGTACCACAAAATATCACACAAAAATACCTATTTACATAAATATTTGTCTGTGGTCCTATAGTGAAAGAAAACGTTGTTATGGATAATGCACAGATCACCTCTATTGTATGAAATCAGTTCTAATATCCTTATTTTCAACATGGTAGCTGACTTCATTAAATTTGTTTACCATCAGTTCAGTCATTTAGAAATGAAACAGGAAAAATTCAATAGTTGAGTTTATTACTACACATGTGTAATTCACATGCATATTCCACAATTTTAGGTAAAAATTATGACTTGTAAAGAATATAACCAAAATAAATTTGTTTTGAATGCCACATGGATCTGATTCATGTCTTAATAAGAAAGAAGATATAAACATAAAAAGCATGTATAGCGTTTTTCCAGAAATTATTTTTTCAAATGTATTCAATCTATCCCAGTTGTTTTAATGTTGCTTCCCTTGGCAGTTTCAGTTTTCCTGTGAGTCAAGACACACAGAAAGCCCTTATTTCCCATACTCAACACATTAACAAGAAAATCATATAACAAATCAAACAAGTTGGCACTATTCTAACTTATCCAGATGTTCTTTAATGTAAGAAAATAGAGGGGTTGTGAAAAATTCAGAAATAAAGTGAGATGCATTTTATGGAACTGACCATGAATTTTAGCCCTAGAGTCTTCATTAAGACAAGATTTAAATCCTAAAAATTCAATGTTGACAAAATTAGACGAATGTTTTCTGTTGGTACATCTTGGAAGATGTAGTTTACCTTTATTTTGTGGTAATTACTTCAGACATCAAATGCAATGCTATGGGTGAAATGAACAAAGATGCAGTAACAAGTGGGAGAAACAATCTACAGTTTCTTGTGCTGAATGCTACTTCTTCCTTCTCCATTGAACTTATTCATATTGGTTGTCTTAGACTTGAACCATAGTTCCAAAATCCATAGCAAGTGCTAATCTCTGGGACTTTGGGGATTTTTAAAACGTTATAGGAGCAGATTCTCTTTCCAAATAACAAGGTAAATTTAGTATTCTAGCAAGCCTTTCTTTAGCAAGCCTAAACCACATTATCTTTCAACAAAAGTTACTGAACATTCACTATAATATTGGAATTACATATTTTTAAAAAGCCAATTAAAAATATAAAACTCTTGAAATAACATTCATAGCTAGATTTTAGGTTGATATGTTTAATTTTATATTCTAAAATCTGTAGAAAACAGTGGATATCTTGGGGAATAGACCAATTTGGAGAAATTGTAAGGGACGGAAAACTCCAAAAATACAAGAATAACAATATTTTAGGATTAAAGTTCTAATTGAAGTTTATACCCTTTTCATTTTATCCTCCAAAATTTTAAGAATATTATATTTTCATAAGATACCATATTCTAAGGTAGTTTTGAGTAAGAACAATTCAAGCAAAATTTATAAGATTTGCCTTCTTAGTTAAGGTGTAATGATCTAATTGGACTTTTTCTTCCAGAAATGTAGGCGTTTGATTGATTAAAAAGAAAACTCTACTGAAAAAAAAAGCAAGCGTCAATTTAATATACCAAATTCACACAGGGCCAAAACAGAATGACAGCTTGAAAGCTTCTATATTTTTCTTCACAGGTATAATGTAATTTTGTCCAGGAAATGCTTCCAAATGGCTGAGTTACTTATGACAGCTAATAATAGTCAACTGGCATGCCAGTGAAGGACTCAGTTTAATTTGTGGATTCTTTTCTCCATGTGAATAAAGTAAATCAGCTTGACATTTTCAAATCTAGTCTTTTTTAGGTAGTATGAAATTGCAGAATTGTAGTAATTCTATTTTATTTAAAATTTATTTTAAAAAAATCAGGTTCCTGTTTTCCTCTGTACTGCTTTCTTAGTTAGACAAGTATATGGACTCAGCTTATTCACTAAAAGGTAATCAACACCTGGCCAGGTTCTTGTTTTGTTCTCTGACCTCAAATAAGTAATGTTCCAGATCTGGTAAACCTGTAAATATTAACAACTTTGACTTTGGGCTTTCTTTCTTTGTCTTTTCTACTTCTTTTATTTCTGTTTTTCATTCTTGTTTTTTGTTTGTTTGTTGTTTTTTGGTTCAGGCCTAAGACAAGAAGCTAGTTCAAATAGGTTTATAATTACCTTTGTCTCTCAACTCTAGACTGACTATGTTGTATAAGTGAAATTGGACAGGAGTTTGGTTTAATAACTTTAGTGAAAATGCTTGAGTTTCTGGCTACACGTATAATGATTTGAATTTGTGTTGTCTGTTCAGACACTGACATTTACAGATGAAAGATATACATAGCACCTATATAGTTTTTATTTATTTTTTGGATGGGTTTTAATCCCTCCCCACTCCACCCTACCCCAAGCATTTATTTTTATAAAAGGGAATACTTTAAGCCTCAGTTTGAGGGTATGTTAAGTAAAACCAATTGGCTGCTAGTCATTTACTTCCAGGACCATCTTTAAGCACAATATTTTAAAAAATATGAAATGGTTTTGTGAATTGCTTTTTTTCCCCACTCTGTCATGCCAATTTATCAAAAAAAACAAACAAATATCATGCATTATTTTTCAGTCTTCTGTGAAAACTCATATATACCTACTATGAGAGGTCTCAGCAGAATCTATAGCAGTTGTGCTTTTATCATATCAATTTTTAAAATCTGTCAGAAAGAAAAGGTAACATTCAGTCTTGTCATCAGCACTGCTGGGAAATAAAATCATGAAACTTCTAGCACTGGTGTGACATGAACTCTGTGACCAACAGATGTGTGGTCCTCTTTTGTATGGTATATACACCGGCCTGCAGTAATAGATCCCACAGCCTTCACTTGAAGAAAGGGAATAGCCCAGTTTCTGTACCATAGTAATCTATTGTACCCAATATATTATTCTTTCATCTTCTTGAATATTCCAGCAAGGTACAGACTCTTATACTACATTGAAGTGTTTCCTACAGTCTTTCAAATTATAATCAGAGCAAAGCAAGGTCATTGCAACAATAGAAAACATCTTTTACTGGTGAAAGGCTTTGCTTCAGGACCACCATGTCAACTGCTATTTTAGGTTCAAACAGAAAACATGTAAAGAGCACTATTGTCATCTAAGCGGTAAGTCCTAATGCCACTGTAGTTACTGGAGCAGCATCGATCAAAGGCATCATGGTGACCCCGAGCACTAATCTTCTCTCTTTCCCTCAGGTTTGCTGGCAGCTGTGTCTCAGAAAAAGCTGTCTTCAGCAAGGCAGAAGCAGGTAAGAGAAATACATTAGAAGTCTATATCCCATCCTGAGTTGTCATCAGGTGGTGGTTCATCGTTGTCCTCAGGGAAACTGTCAAAATTACTTGTGTCTGTGGGTGATGCAACCTGTAAAAAATGGACAGGTTTTTTTTAGTGGATTTTTTTTAGTGGAATTCCAAGCTGGAATTTTTAAGTGCATTCTGTATTTATTCCCTATTAGTGACTATTTCATTGAGTATCTACTATGTAGCAGGTATTGAGGGTCACAGTGGTAAGTACAAGCAGACATGGTTCTTATCCTTGGAGAGTTTATACCCTTGTGAGTAATAAACTGTATGATTAAAACAAATAATCACTAAAATCTTTCTATATAATAAACTTTGGCTAGAGCTATGGAAACAAAGATGCCATGAAAGTATAAGAGTGATCATGTAGCGTGATGCCTCCAGCTTTGTTCTTTGGCTCAGGATTGACTTGGCGATGCAGGCTCTTTTTTGGTTCCATATGAACTTTAAAGTAGTTTTTTCCAATTCTGTGAAGAAAGTCATTGGTAGCTTGATGGGGATGGCATTGAATCTATAAATTACCTTGGGCAGTATGGCCATTTTCACGATATTGATTCTTCCTACCCATGAGCATGGAATGTTCTTCCATTTGTTTGTTTCCTCTTTTATTTCATTGAGCAGTGGGTTGTAGTTCTCCTTGAAGAGGTCCTTCACATCCCTTGGAAGTTGGATTCCTAGGTATTTTATTCTCTTTGAAGCAATTGTGAATGGGAGTTCACTCATGATTTGGCTCTCTGTTTGTCTGTTATTGGTGTATAAGAATGCTTGTGATTTTTGTACATTGATTTTGTATCCTGAGACTTTGCTGAAGTTGCTTATCAGCTTAAGGAGATTTTGGGCTGAGACAATGGGGTTTTCTGTATATATAATCATGTCATCTGCAAACAGGGACAATTTGACTTCCTCTTTTCCTAATTGAATACCCTTTATTTACTTCTCCTGCCTAATTGCCCTGACCAGAACTTCCAACACTATGTTGAATAGGAGTGGTGAGAGAGGGCATCCCTGTCTTGTGCCAGTTTTCAAAGGGAATGCTTCCAGTTTTTGCCCATTCAGTATGATATTGGCTGTGGGTTTGTCATAGATAGCTCTTATTATTTTGAGATATGTCCCATCAATACCTAATTTATTGAGAGTTTTTAGCATGAAGGGTTGTTAAATTTTGTCAGAGGCCTTTTCTGCATCTATACTACAAGGCTAGAGTAACCAAAACAGCATGGTACTGGTACCAAAACAGAGATATAGATCAATGGAACAGAACAGAGCCCTCAGAAATAACGCCGCATATCTACAACTATCTGATCTTTGACAAACCTGAGAAAAACAAGCAATGGGGAAACGATTCCCTATTTAATAAATGGTGCTGGGAAAACTGGCTAGCCATATGTAGAAAGCTGAAACTGGATCCCTTCCTTACACCTTATACAAAAATTAATTCAAGATGGATTAAAGACTTAAACGTTAGACCTAAAACCATAAAAACCCTAGAAGAAGACCTAGGCATTACCATTCAGGACATAGGCATGGGCAAGGACTTCATGTCTAAAACACCAAAAGCAATGGCAACAAAAGCCAAAATTGACAAATGGGATCTAATTAAACTAAAGAGCTCCTGCACTGCAAAAGAAACTACCATCAGAGTGAACAGGCAACCTACAAAATGGGAGAAAATTTTCGCAACCTACTCATCTGACAAAGGGCTAATATCCAGAATCTACAATGAACTCAAACAAATTTACAAGAAAAAAAACAAACAACCCCATCAAAAAGTGGGCCAAGGACATGAACCGACACTTCTCAAAAGAAGACATTTATGCAGCCAAAAAACACATGAAAAAATACTCATCATCACTGGATCACTGGCCATCAGAGAAATGCAAATCAACACAACAATGAGATACCATCTCACACCAGTTAGAATGGCGATCATTAAAAAGTCAGGAAACAACAGGTGCTGGAGAGGATGTGGAGAAATAGGAACACTTTTACACTGTTGGTGGGACTGTAAACTAGTTAAACCATTGTGGAAGTCAGTGTGGCGATTCCTCAGGGATCTAGAACTAGAAATACCATTTGACCCAGCCATCCCATTACTGGGTATATACCCAAATGACTATAAATCATGCTGCTATAAAGACACATGCACACGTATGTTTATTGCGGCACTATTCACAATAGCAAAGACTTGGAACTAACCCAAATGTCCAAGAATGATAGACTGGATTAAGAAAATGTGGCACGTATACACCATGGAATACTATGCAGCCATAAAAATGATGAGTTCATGTCCTTTGTAGGGACGTGGATGAAATTGGAAATCATTTCTCAGTAAACTATCGCAAGAACAAAAAACCAAACACCGCATATTCTCACTCATAGGTGGGAACTGAACAATGAGAACACATGAACACAGGAAGGGGACCATCACACTCTGGGGACTGTTGTGGGGTGGGGGGAGGGGGGAGGGATAGCTTTAGGAGATACACCTAATGCTAAATGACAAGTTAATGGGTGCAGCACACCAGCATGGCACATGTATACATATGTAACTAACCTGCACATTGTGCACATGTACCCTAAAACTTAAAGTATAATAATAATAAAAAAATAAAAAAATAAAAAAATAAAAGAGTGATCACGTAGGCCCAGCGCGGTGCTCACGTCTGTAATCCCAACCCTTGGGAGGCCGAGGTGGGAGGATCACTTGAGGTCAGGAATTCAAGACCAGCCTGGCCAACATGGTGAAACTGTGTCTCTACTAAAAATACCAAAATTAGCTGGGAGTGGTGGCACTTGCCTACAATCCCAGCTACTCAGGAGACTGAGGCAGGAGAATTGCTTGAACCTGGGATGCAGGGGTTGCAGTAAGCCGAGATCACGCCACTGCATTCCAGCCTGGGTGACAGATTAAGACTCCATCTCAAAAAAAAAATTAAAAAAAAAAAAAAAAAAGAGTGATCATGTAAAGACTCTTTGAAAAAGTGTTATTTTATTTCTTTTTTTAGAGACAGGGTCTTTCCACTCTGTCACCCAAGCTGAAGTATAGTGGTACAATCACAGCTCACTGTAAGCTCAAATTCCTGGGCTCAAGTGATCCTCCTGCTCCAGACTTTTGAGTAGTTAGGACTATAGGTGCACATCAGCACACCTGGCTAGTATTTTCTTTTCTTTTTTTGTAGAGACAGAGTCTCACTATGTTGTCCAGGCTGGCTGGTCTTGAACTCTTGAACTCCTGGCCTCAAGTGATCCTCTCACCTATATATTTTTGTCTGCATTTCTATATTTTGAACATTTCCCATGCTAAAAATTAACTTATGTTCATAAATGAGGGAAACTTGAATCAAATGAATAGTTAAAAAAGAGAAGAGTAAAACACATTTACAGTGACTATCCCCAAATTTATCTGCTTTCAAGTTTGGATTTTAGAATATGTCATTATTTTAATGTGACATTTTTCCTAGAGTTTGTTTAACTTAATCATAGGATTAAACTTTAAAAATAACAGATCATTGTTGACTGACATAAACACCATCAATTATGTCACACAATTATAAGCTGGAAAGTCTACTTACACTTGGTATTATAGGAGGTGTCAAGGTACCTTTTCTTAAGCCTTCCCAGTTAAAGCCCTCAAACCATCTAGAAAAGGAAAAAACGTTGATAAAAACATTTTGTGTCAGCTAAAAGCTTCTCATTGCAGTGTATACAATGTCCATGGCTAATGGGAAGCAGTTAGGCAAACATTTTCATGTGACAAAAATGTTTTCTATTTAATTGCATATGTTTTCCTAATAGTTTATTTTATGAAATACATATTTTTAAAAGTATAACTGTCAAATTTTAAACACCAATTAACATGCAACACTTATTCCTTGTAATTCAGTCATAATGTCTCTATGACCTTGTTCCTACACTATAATTAAAATTTAATACATGTCATAATGTGTCTGGCCCTGTGCCTTACAGGATATTTTATTTTAAGGAGGTAGAACCAGGGCATGAAAAGTCAGGATAGAAAATTAACTTTCCATTTTTGCCACTGATTCAGTGCACAGTGTCAGCTAATTAACCTTTTCACATCATTGTCATAGTCTCTACATGTCCCATTTTCTTCTTTTTTTCCCTTTTTTAATGAAGAATAAAGATATTTTGTGTACAGTTTTTCTGTGAAAATAAGAACCAAAAAAGACTAAAGTTTTTGCTTGTTTGTTTTCTTTTGTCTTTGAAGGGTTTCAGCATTAGCAAATGCTTACAACAAATTCTTAGCAGGCTTTTCAGATATTCAGAGATATTTTAGTAAACATGTTTCTTTGATAAGGATGTGAATTTCCTGTCAGTGTTACACAAACAAATAGAGAAAACCCAATTAGTTTAGCTTTAGAACATCCAATCAACATAGGGAAGGTCTGATATTTAAGATGTTGCTATTGTTTAAAAAACACTGTATTCTGTACTTATGTTTTTCTCCTGTTATAACATCTAATTAGGAAATGCTTGGAAAAATATATTTTGTCTTTAGGAAATCAGGTAAGATACAGTAGGGGACTTTTATTTGTAATTCTGTGGTAGAGAATAGAATCCCCAAATTTAAAATACACATTTCCCCTTTGTGCCAGAGGGGAAAAAAATGCTAGTTGGTATGAGTTGTAAGAAACTGAGTTCAGCTTCTTATGTTACAGGGTTGTCAGATAAATATAAATAAGGTTTCATAATCACAACTAGAAAGGCATTTAAAAGCCTTACTAGTTTATACGCTGTCTTTGGATGTTCCTATAGGCTAATTATACTAGTTTTACACCAATAACTTAAAAAGCAACACCCTGGGGAAATGATGTCACGTGTTCAGAACTCTGCAGAAAGAACACTTACTTGTGCTTTTGAATGTCTTTTACTCCATTTTTCAAATTCCCTAATCTTTCTGATGGATTGTCCCTAAAAATAAAATAATGGTTTTATTAAATCTAATTTTTTCACATTATGATGTTTTCAAAAATAATGTGGTTGAAATACTTACCTGCATAGTTTTTTAATTAAATTAGCAGCATTTTTGGCAATCTTCTTTGGAAATTCTATCATGTCAATCCCCCTCAATATGATGTTATAGGTTTTCATAGGATCTGGGCCTGAGAAAGGTGGGCTGCAAGAATGAGAGACACGACAAGAGATATTACTTTTATTTTCTACATGAGAACACTTGAATTGCTATAAACTCCACAGATGACATCAATTCATATTTGGGGGCTTAGATTAATAGTGACAATGGAATGAAAATAGATTAATAGCAAAACAGTGTGGAAGCCCTTCCAAGTAAATCACTTAGTGAAACCAGAAATGGGTCAAGTTTATCTGCTCTTCTCTTGCTTTCTTTTAAGTGCTGGAGTCTAAGCCCTCATGCTGTCCTTGGTCATTCAAGATGCTTCTTCTACTCTCTGACCTTTTCCACACTTACTGACTCATTGATTATACTTGAGATGAAGTCCAAAATCATTAGGAGGGGCCGCAGGAACACCAACGATACTACCCCACCTCATGCCATTACCACCCTCACTCACTGGGATCCAGAAACAATAGCCTTCTCTCTGTTCCACTGAAATGCCGAGCACTTTCCTACCTCATGGTGTTACTTATTTGGTCTGGAAGGTTCTTCCCATACTTATCTGGCCAATGCCTCACTTTATCAAGTTTCAGTATAAGTGTTATGCTGTTTCCTCCAAAAGGCCTACTCTGGTCAACCTATTACAACCAATTACATAACCTATATCAACCCACGTAACCTAGCAATCTAATTTCATGCTCTAGTTTAAAGTTTAATCTAAATTAGAGTCCCTGTTACACTTTTATAGCACCCTTATGCCACTTATTGTACTTTGTAATTATCTTTTCATTTGTGTGATTGTTTTATGTCTGTCTTCCCTTCCAGAAGAGTTTGTTTTCTGCTGGTATTCCCAGAGTTGAGTAGAGTTTGCAGCATGTACATACTAAGGAGGCAATAAATATTTATTGCTCTAATGTTTCTATAGAATAGTACTCCTCCTATCCTTTTCTCTCTGCTCAGAGGACCTCATTAGATAATTTAACACTAGGCATCCTCTTTGCTAGCAAGGATGTAATACCCCAGCCCTCATGAGCCAGATCTGTTGATTTTTTTTTTTTTTTTTTTTTTTAACTGATCCATCCTTGAAGTGTGGTTTGTGGCAGCTTCAGTGAGTACAAAGATGACTAAAGTCAGGTCTTTCCTTCAAATTTCTCACAATTCAGAGGGGAGATGATGATACACCTTGACGAATGATTTCTTTGGAAATTAATTACTCTCTTTAATACAGGTTTTGTGTGTCTTTGGGGAAGAAATCTGAATTATTATTTTTTTTGCCTTTCATGTTTATTAAGAGCAGTTCAAACTATTTCTTTTTTATCAAGCAGGCTAATGAGTAATTTAAAGTAAGGAGTAGTAGATTTGCCTGTTAAGGGCTGTGATGGATTCTGCTTTGATTTTCTGTGAAAAATGCTTTCTATTTACTTTAATATGTCATTAGCTAGTAATTGCCTATCAATTTTAAATCACTTGAAAAATGTATAAACATGCAAATCTATTTAGTATTCTCTTAGAATTTAAAATTTTATCTTTAGTTGATTCTATGATTGAATATTCTTTTTAATCTCTTAACATGCCAGTTTTCATTTTTTACTTTAAAAAATGAGGAGGAGCCACATCTTGGCAATGATTTCTAATTTATAGTTTTGCTTTTATATTTATTTTGCTTTTATATTTAGTTGCTTATCTTAGAAAACTAAAATCAATTATTAAATATAGTATTTGTGGTTTTTATGTGATGCATGTTAGTCTAATATTCATTCAATATATAAAACAAAATTATTTAGAAGAAAGTCATCCAAAACCTCAAAATATTCAGAATGCTCTACATTTGATGAACATAATTTCATAGACTTCTATATGTAGATTGTAGACACACAGGATTATATTATGCATATTTTTAAATTTAGAAGTATTCGATTTAATTTTACTTTAGCTAAACTGAGGAGTAAAATGGAGAGAAATGCTAAATTTCAGATATGTGTGCTTCTTAACCAATATTAATTCCTAAAATATTTCTCTAAAATTAAAAAAAAAATCAAACTGAATTTAGAGATTTCTCTTCTGTAATGACATGTTTTAACTATAAAATATATGTAAGATTACTAATTATTAATGATGAGAAATAAGTATACCTATAGTTATACCTGCTTTACCTCCCACCTTAATTTTTGTTGGTTTTAGTGTTATTTTAAGATTGCCAAAGACTACAATATTTACATTCTGTTCAATTACCCAAATTTAAATTATTTGATCTAAGTTCTAATTAATTAGACCCAAAGCTCATCAATCTTTTTACTAGTTTTTCTATTCCTGAATGCTTTATTTTGATTCATCTTTTTGTGGGCTTGATTGAATAGTAGTGTTTTTGAGAAAGGCCTGGGGTCCACACTTTATATGTCGTGTTTGAATTTGAAGAAGAACTTAACTCAGTATAAATTACTTGGGTTATACCTTCTCTGACCCTCAGAACTACGTAGTTCTTGATATACTATCTTTTGGCATTAAAGATGCTGTAGAGAAGGTTGAGGCCAGCTGGAACTTTAACTGTCTTCACTCCCAATACCACACATGCCGTGTTTTTATGGCTTTGATGCCAATAAGACTATTCCTTATTAATGAATTTAATTCATTAATTCACCACATGGAAATACTGTGGTGATATTATTCTGAATCAGTTTCTCCATGGTCACTGCAGATCAAAAGGATATACTGAGTCAATTCTTTATGCCATGGATTTTTATTATGTAATTAAAGATGTTTTTTCTCCTGTTTGTAATATTATATTCATACACATAATTGATGTGTTTTCTATTTCCTTTGACTAATAGATTCTCTTTCTGAAATCATATCTATGTATTTTTTCTTTTTTCATTATATTTTCCAAGCCTGTCTACTATCTCCCTTGCTGCATTTTTAATTGTTACTATTTTATTTTCTCTTACTTACAGCATGACTTTCAGTTCTGTAATGGTCCTGAGCTCTGCTAGTTACTTGTCTTCTCATTTATGAACACTTGCAAATATCTTAGAGGTTACTTTTTAGGGAGATCATGCTTTTGATAGCCTCAAAGAAATTATAGATAAGAGTTTATCTAAACACTTCCTCCTATATTTCCTTGATTCATTTTTCTTGTGTGTTCTTTAGCTTTCTTTTACTTTTGCATCTTTCAGCTGACATAAATGGAAAACATCAGCTCAAACTGATTAAAATAAGAAAAACATTGAACTCACAAAAGCACTTTCCAGAGGTAGGGCAAATTCTAGACTGGTAGGATCAGTGGTTCCAGCTTTTCATTCTGCCATAGTCACTATTAGTTTCATCATGGCTGTTTCCCCTCATAGTTATAGGAAGTCTACCAGTGGAAATAAGGACTTATATTCATTCAGTAATTATTTACTGAGTAGCTACTGTAGGAAAAAAGAATTCTCCTCCAATAATGTATTTTAAAATTATTCCTCTAATTTATGTACCCAGTCCAATAAATGCCAATCACTAGAGGAATGCCATGTGACTGGAATAGACGAGCTGAATCAAAACCTAAAACTGGAGATAAATTCATCTTTTCCTAAGTTGGTGGGGGAGATGGATCCTTGAGCAAAATCAGTAAGAAAGGAGTTGGTGTGTATGCATGGAAGGGGGCTGGGGTTGTAAGAGGGGCAGGGACTGGCTTCCCTGGGACCCTTTCTGACCATTACTTATCCTTAGATTGGGCCGCCTACCATGAAGAATAGAACAGGGAAAGTTGGAGGGAAGGAAGCAATGAGAAATTCACCAGCCTTCACTACTGTTTGTTGCCTTATAACCAGATCATTTATTTCCTTTGCCCTCAATTTAAAACATTCAGGGAGGTCATGTGGCTCATACAAAGCCCCACCACATTCTCTGAAATCATTAATCACTGCCTCTCTCCCCCTTTTCACTCCCTGCTTCACTGACCAACATTATAAGCCTTAAAAGGCAGAATTGGTACATTTGTATGAATCTTCCTTCACCTCAGTTCCTCTTTCATTCTGTAGTGCTTAATTAGGTCTCTGCATGAACAGTCTTTGCTTTTTCAAGGTCCAGCCAGTCCTCTAAATGTCATTATTACTATCGAAGATCATTAGATATGACATTCAGGACCAAAATACTTTGGAGTCATGCTTGTGGTCCAAGCATCATTCCTAGTCACATGCCATACTTCATAGTGTTTGGCAGGTGTGTTTTGTGGAACTTTATTTGTAACTAAAGATCATCCTACTTGTTTTATTCTTGCCTTCTCCCACCCCCACCCCTGGCCACCGTCTCTTACCACCACCATCATCTCTTTGGGTAGAAAAGGAAAAGTAAAGATTTTTTTAATGCTGTTGTCTTTGACCAAAATTCTTTCTGTCTTGTTATTTCTTGAAATGAATATTAAGTTTAGGTATGTTTAATCATAATGTTTCGATATATATATTTATGGTAAAAAAATTAAGTTTGGTTTTGAAAATACAACATAAATTGTGACTTATAGTGCTTTATTTTTATTGCTGCTCTGCTATTCTGTAATTTCTATGTCCTTGAGGTTATTTAGAAAAATGCTTTTTAAATTTTCAAGTATTTAGACTTTTTATTTTAAATCTTTGTTATTAATTCCAAGTTTTATTATATTCCAGTCAGATATTGTAACCTGTGCAATTTCTACTTTAAAGGATTAAAGGTTTTTCTGTTATTAATTATTTCTTACAGTTTAGTATATGCCAGTTTTTAAGATTAAGGTTTTAATCATTTTCACCTTATTACTTAATGAATAAACAATGATTGTAGAGAAATGTCTAAACATTTAAGGAGAAATATAAGTTGTCATGTTTAATATTTTAGTCTAGTTATTATAGGTGAATATTTTACTTCCTCAAAAATAGTTAATATTTAGTTTTCTTCTATTTATTATATAATTGGTTCTTATAGCAATTCTAAGCACACTAGAAAGATTACCTTTTTATCTATCTCTCTGCCTATTTACCTATCTATCCATCCACACACATATGTTAAATTTAACCTTCTACTTTGTCCAAATTTTTCATATCTTTACAGGTCTACTTAATTGGTCATACTTTTAAAATAATTTACCTCCATCCACAAGATCAAAATTGAACAATCCACACTGAACAAAATTGGATTATGTCACACATAATTTATTTGAAGTCAATAGAGAAACTTTATGGGTAATAATGTAAAATACCCATAAATAAAAATAAAATCAAAACACAACTATTTCTGGCAATGACTGTCGTTGTTGTAGTAGTAGCAGCTGCTAACATTCATGGAATGCTTACTATGTGCGAAACACTCTTCTAAGTGTTTCATGTATGCACTGAATCCTCACAGAGTACCCTGTGCTCAAAGTCCTCAGTCTTCCTCTCATGTTCACTGTAGTGACTAAGTCCTCTTAAGTAATTCTTCACATCCTGCCTCACAATTACTCTTTTTTTCCATTGCCCTTGCCCTACTCTAGGCTCTCAGTGTCCTAGAACTAAATTACTGCAACAATCTTCAAACTAGCTTCCTATTCCTCTTCCAATTTGCTTATTACTGCCAACTTGTTTTTCCTTAAATACCACAACACACATCACTCAACCTTTGTCAGAAAATCTCAATGATTCCCTCTGTAGATGGAGTCCAAACACTCAAGTGCAGCAATCATGATCGTCAAAAGATGACTGTTCCTGTTTTTTTTACATGAACCTTCTCCATGTCTGTGACGATTATTGCCTTTCTCTTTAAGCCATGCCTATTTGCCTGGAATACCCTTTTCTTGCTCTCTATATCTAAGTCCTACTCTTCATTCAAGACACAGCTGCCTTATATTCATTCTTCAAAAGCCTCTTTACGAACCCATCCCTGTCCTGAAATCTGTAGGTCATAACACCCCTGTCACTCACTGTTTTAGCACATGTCATGGTAGTGTATTTGTTGTTCTTTTAATATGGGTCCTTGAGGATCTTAAAGTTTGTTTTATACCTTGTGGTGTCCCTAGTGCCTATTTGAGTTGATGATAATAACATTACAGGAAAGATGTACAAAGCAGTCACCTTTCATTTAGATATAACAGTTGCTAACAGGTCCTCTTACTTCTATAGAAAATTGACCCTAGATATTTTTATATGATTATCATCTCCCCTGTTTCATTGCTGGCTAAATGACTGGGCTAAGATAGCTCACAGAAGGACATTATATCCTTCCACATTCACATATGTAAAAAAGAAGTAGCAATAATGAGACCAAAAGTTAGTGTTCAGGTGGTTGCCCTAGCCTGGACTATTTTATACCTTACATTATGAATTCCTGGTCATCTGTATAACTAATTAAACTGTGGTACCAAGATATGGTGAAAAGTACTTTAAGATGGTCTAATCCAAGTGACAAAAGCAGGAGTGTGTAGCTGCATGCTGGTCTATTTTTATCAGCAGTTCCCTATCAATATCCATACCTGCCAGTCAGGAGTTCATACATTAGGATTCCCAGTGACCAGTAGTCGGCTGAAATGTCATGGCCTTTGTTCAGGATGATCTCTGGGGCTACATACTCTGGAGTCCCACAAAAAGTCCATGTTTTCTTTCCAAATCCTATTTTCTTTGCAAAGCCAAAATCAACCTTACAAAGAGAGAAAAACAAGATACTTAAGCTCCTTATGATTAAGTTTTAAAGTAATAAGTTATTTTGAAGCACACTGATGATGATAATAATTTAAAAACATGTATGTTTTTATAGTTCTGTCTTCCAAAAAGAATAGTCTATATTGCAAAGACAGTCTCCCTGATGCACCTCAGTTTTAATGGCAAAAGTTGACACCTGAGTATAGCATAAAATTCACATCATTAAAAATAAAGGTAAATCTTCCTTTCCGAATATAGTTTTCATTTTTTCTTCTTTTATGCTAATGGAGGTTGGAGTGTAAACACAGAATCTCTTCTGTACCTAAAAATTGTTAACGACCAGTTGGGCCTACTTAACATCTTTCCCAGAATATACATGATTTCTGCTGGATTTAATGAAGGCGACAATTCATTTAGTATTAATTATTTGAAAAGCTATTTTATGTTTGCAGGAAGTGAGTAAGATAGTTTTGGGACCAATGACTCTGCCCTTAGTAAGCATAAACAGAAATAAAATTATAATGTATTCTTCATTTTTCTGGAACTCTTTTGAAGGAAGAGTGTCGACTGCAGAAAATATATTTTTTCTAAAACGATTTGGTTGAAACTACAAATAAAAAACTGCCACTGATTTGATTTCTCTAAAAACCACATGCTGAATAACAATTCTGAAAACTTTAAAAATGGAATCAAGCTGTTAACAGATCCAACAAAAGTTGTGCATTTGTAAATAAAAGAACTTCTCTTCTATGGTAAATCTTTACAGCTTTTGACCATTATTATTATTACTATTACATAACCTGGCTAGCATTGCCTGTAAAGCACATTTTTTTCCATTAGCATTATTCTTAAATCTAAAATATTAAAATGATTTATGGTTTTCCATAATATAAAAACCCATTGCTTATGAATGGCAAAAAGCTGACTGGAGAAAAGGACTTCTGGGCATGTAAACACATGCCAGCAAGTGTGTTTTCTCATGCTTATAAAAGCATCTTTTGCCAGAGTATTGTTAATTCAAACTTAGCCAACTTAATTTTTCATAACTGATGCATCATTTGAAAGAACATTCAGTTGAAAAGTGTAATGCTAAAATCTGCTTTTAAGAAAGTTACAACATTGAAAAGGAAAACTCAGATTTCATATTAGCAAATGAACACAGTTTTATAAACAAATATTTTTAATCTGCAGGGCAGAAAGCACGTATGAAATGCACTGACCAGTTTGGCATAACCTCGGTGATCTAGGATGAGATTTTCTGGCTTGAGGTCCCTGTAAATGATTCCTTTGGAATGCAGATAGGCAAAAGCTTCTACCACACATGCTGTGTAAAATCTGGTTGTAGAATCTTCAAACGAACCTCTGAGGTGCAGAAATGGAATGAAAATTGTATAAAAAATTAATTTCTGTAATATGGCTTTATTTTTTTTTTCTCATTTCACTATATTCCTTTGCCAAAATTTAACCCAGAGATCACTGTCCTGCTAGCTAAATGTTACATGATTGCCATTACATTGGGTTTTCTGAAGCATTCAAGGATCAAGTTAAGGAATTCTCTGTCTTTATGAATGGAATAGTTAAATCTCACTTACTGAAAGGGCTGAAAGAATAGTTCAACACAACACATTTCATGTACTTAGTGTCTTCCTCTCAACAGCCCACTACAATCGAAAAAGGCACAGACTTACAGAAGTAGGCAGGAGAGAAAAATAATCCTATTTTAGAGCTTGCCTACCAAGCATTTGTTTTTTAAAGGAGAAGTTTATGGGTTTATTCATATTTATTCTTAGAGGGCTTGTTTTTTAATCTTTCTAAATAATGCAGATATGGTTCATGAGAGTCTGAATAAAAGCAACTGTTTTCAAAGAACCACTCCGGAAATAAGTTATAATGCTACTGATGCAATCATAATGCAAGCTAAGTACTCTTCTGTTTTTGAAACTTCTGCATCCAAAACAAACAATATCTATTTCCTATACTACTGAATTCTTATTAAGGGGAAAAGATGGACTAAAAGACAATTACAAAGAAAAAAGTAACTAGAAGGGAATGTTTATTAGTAATCTTGATTATTATGTTTAGCAAGAAGGCTCTCTCTGTCTCATATATATGATATATGGGCATATATATGTTGATTGATTGATTGAATGAAATAATTTAGAAAAAACCTTGGCATCTAAGGTTAAACCCTTTGTTCTAGGGCAGAACGTCTTAACTTTAACTATTTTTCTTTTTTTTTTTCATGGTACTTCTTAAAGAGATAAACCATGTACTTTTTTTTTCTTTCCCGAGTAGTAAGCACAATTTAATAATTTCATTTCATAATTCAAAAATATTAGTGTGAACATCAGCGCCTGAGGTGGTTGAGATATAACATGAGTGACAAGCACACAAGTGATTTTATTAATAGACAGTGTACAACAAATGATAGCTTCAGAGCTTGCTTTCATGAGTCTCTGATGCCTGTTTGCATTTTGGTGACACTTATTTTTTTTTCAAAATTGTGGAGTAAAGTTTAACAAACTGGGCAGTGGAATATGGTTACATTTTTACAAAATTCATAAGTGAATCAAGGCTAAAGCAGCCACTTTTCAGGCTTTCAGAAATAGGTAGTGTCTTCCAGAAAGAGAATGTCTTCATTTCAGCTACTAATATCACTTGAGTTTTCACTGAAATAACCAGCTTTTCCTAAGAAAAATATCATTCTTCTGAAACATAATTAATTATAGGCATAATGATATCTATTCCTCTAGATTCTAGAATCTTAACTATAATTACCATGACTCCTGAATCTCCCTTGAATAATATCTGAATGGAACAATTGTGAATTTATGAGCACAAGAGAAAGTTTGAGAACTGCATCCATATGAGGAAACAAATGATATACTTCATGCTACAATTTTCCTCTGACTTGGAGATATCTTTGGCAGAGTTAAAATTTTATAATTGTATGTAGTTCCAAAGGGATTACAGTATTGCCTTGAAGGTCCTTTCTTCTTCGCCCTTAATTAAGTATGTTTACCTGTCAAGAGTAGCATGTTTCTTTCATTTGAAGAGATTATTTACCTTAAAGAGTAAGCATCTGTGTATATATAATTAATATATAGCTTTAGCTACACTGCTATCTATGAATTAAATCCCTTCTCAATGGAGAGCATTGCAAAGCAAAACAAAACAAAATGAAAGAGTAAAGGGAATGGTCTTATTTTATTTCAAACTATATATCTTGTTCTTTTTTTTTTTTTTTTGAGATGGAGTCTCACTCTGTCACCCAGGCTGGAGTGCAGTGGTGCAATCTCGGTTCACTGCAACCTCAGCCTCCTGGGTTCAAGTGATCCTCCTGCCTCAGCCTCCCGAGTAGCTGGGACTACAGGCACGCACCACCATGCCCATGTAATTTTTTTAAGTTTAGTAGAGATGGGGGTTCGACCTCCTGACCTCATGATCCACCTGCCTTGGCCTCCCAAAGTGCTAGGATTACAGGCGTGAGCCACCATGCCCAGCCAAACTCATTCTTTTTTATGGCTGCATAGTATTCCATGGTGTATATGTGCCACATTTTCTTTATCCTGTCTGTCATTGTGGGCATTTGGGTTGGGTCCAAGTCTTTGCTATTGTGAATAGTGCTGCAATAAACATACATGTGCATGTGTCTTTAAGTAGAATGATTTATAATCTTTGGGTATATACCCAGTAATGGGATTGCTGGGTCAAATGATAATTCTGGTTCTAGATCCTTGAGGAATTGTCATACTGTCCACAATGGTTGAATTAATGTACACTTCCACCAACAGTGTAAAAGCATTCCTATTTCTCCACATCCTCTCCAGCATCTGTTGTTTCCTGACTTTTAATGATCGTCATTCTAACTGGCATGAGATGGTATCTAATTATGGTTTTGATTTGCATTTCTCTAATGACCAGTGATGATGAGCATTTTTTCATGTGTCTGTTGGCTGCATAAATGTCTTCTTTTGAGAAGTGTCTGTTCATATCCTTTGCCCACTTTTTGATAGGGTTGTCTGTTTTTTTTCTTGTAAATTTGCTTAAGTTCCTTGTAGATTCTGGATATTAGCCCTTTGTCAGATGGATAGATTGCAAAAATTTTCTCCCATTCTGTAGGTTGCCTGTTTACTCATTTACATCAGGACTGTCTAATTGTGATTTGAGTGGGCCTTTTTGAAAGCTTACAAATGCTTGATTACTGTTAGTAGAAGAGGAGATTATTTCTACAGTTGTGACTCTGGGCAACATACCTCTGCTTCCTTAATAGTCAATTGGTAATGGAATCAAATGGACAAATGCATTGTTAATGTTGTAATGAGAGTAAATGCTTAGGTGAGAGATCAATTTCTCATGAAATGTCTGCAGAATATTATACTTATATTCTGAATAAGCTGGTCATTAGCAGAAAGATGGAAAAATGCTAATACAAACTCAAATTCATGGGAGGAGGCTATATGTTAGAATATGGACCCTGAAGCAAGAATCCTGGGCTCAACTCCAGACTCCATTTACTGTTTGTTCTTGAGCAATTAACTATATGTCTCTGTGTTTCTGTGTTCTCATGTGCAAAATGGGGCTAATAACAGTAACTATCTCACTGGGTTGTTGTGAAGATCCAAAGAATTAATAATGCATGTACTGAAAATAAGTGCCTGGTACACAACTTGTGCTCACTAAATGTAATAGTAGCCACTATGATTGAGCACCAGAAAACTATTTTTTAGCTACTATGTCTTAATATAGTAAAATTAACTAACATAGTATAGAATAGGGATGAAGTATTTTCAGGGTGGAGGTTGGGGGTTTGGAACACCAATCCTCTCTGTTATTTAAGTGCTTCTGACTGCCAAGGCTAACTGCCACAAATCAACTCTGAAGAATCCTTTGCTAATCTCTGTTCTTTTCACTTTCCCCATGCTTCTCACATGGGCCAAAATTACCCTTTTATTGCCTGCCAATCAAAGCTCTCCCTTTTTCACCACGAAGCAAACAGACCACAAATTGTACATCTTAGGGTCCTCAGTTCTTGACAACTCTATTTGTTTCCAGTTTTCTCTGGTTTTGAGTCATTTTGGAATGTGGAGGGTTTTAGAAATCTAGTTTCCATTCCTTCAACACATCTATATTGAGTATCTTTCACATATAAATATATTTGTAACCGATTTTGAAAATTAAATGAAAACCTTGTCTCAAACTTTGATAAATCTATACAATGCATGCACACAAATGTTTACCAGCACCACACTGTCCCATCACTAAACATGTGATGTAGATAACTTGTGGATTTTAAAATAGACATCTTGAAAGCAGTCACAAAGCATAACACTGAGGTGACTCACAATGAAAAATTACTATTAGAATTGGAAATGACAATGTAAATTTGATTTAAAACAAAAGAAACCCTGTTTCATCAATAGTTTAGATAGTTACTTAAAGAAATAAATCACTTGCCTTATATAGCTCTTTGAAATAATGAATTATGCCTTGACAGCTGTGTCATTTCAATTAAAACCAGTGAGAGATAAGGCCCTTATGCCCTCTTTGGGGATGGGTGGTTGTTTTAAGCTAGATGGCAGTTAGATGACAATTTGAGAGAAATAGAAGGTTATTTATGAATATTGATAGACTCAAATTAAAATTTAATCACAATGTTTAGTCAACTTGTCATAAACTGAGTTCTTGGATATCAGAATGTAACAGGAGCTAAGCATCTCTCATCAAAATATTTCACCTTTTTCATTGACGAGTAACAACAATCAGTGAGTGTATGAACCTGAAGTATGTTGCAATCTGTGCAGATTTATTGCCAATTGTAAATTGAGGGAGGCACAGCCAACATAATACTGAATGGAGAAAAGTTGAAAGCATTCCCTCTGAGAACTGGAACAAAATAAGGATGCCCACTCTCACCACTCCTCTTCAACGCAGTACTGGAAGTCCTAGCCAGAGCAATCAGAGAAGAGAAAGAAATAAAGGGCATCCAAATCGGTAAAGGGGAAGTCAAACTGTCACTGTTTGCTGACGATATAACCGTTTTCCTGGCAAACCCTAAGGACTCTTCCAGGAAGCTCCTAGAACTGATAACAGAATTCAGCAAAGTTTCTGGATACAAGATTAATGTACAAGAATCAGTAGCTCTTCTATACACCAATGGTGACCAAGTGGAGAATCAAATCAAGAACTCAACCCCTTTTACAATAGCTGCAAACAAACAAACAAAAAACCAAAAACTTCGGAAAATACCTAACCAAGAAGTTGAAAGACCTCTACCAGAAAAACTACAAAACACTGCTGAAAGAAGTCATAGATGACACAAATGACACAAACATCCCATGCTCATGTGTGGGTAGAATCAATATTGTGAAAATGACTATACTGTCAAAGCAATCCAAATTCAATGCAATCCCTATCAAAATACCACCATCATTCTTCACAGAATTAGAAAAAAAATTCTAAAATTCATATGGGATCATAAAAGAGCCCACATAGCCAAAGCAAGATTAAGCAAAAAGAACAAATCTGGAGACATCACACTAACTGATTTCAAACCATACTATAAGACCATAGTCACCAAAACAGCATAGCACTGGTACAAAAATAGGAACATAGACCAATGGAACAGAATAGAGAACCCAGAAATGAACCCAAATACTTACAGCCAACTGATCTTTGACAAAGCAAACAAAAACATAAAATGGGGAAAGGACACTCTTTCAACAAATGCTGCTGGAATAATTGGCTAGCCACAGGTAGGAAAATGAAACTGGATCCTCATCTCTCACCTTGTACAAAAATCAACACAAGATGGATTAAGGACTTAAACCTAAGATCTGAAACTACTAAAATTCTAGAAGATAGCATTGGAAAAACCCTTCTAGACATTGGCTTAGGCAAAGATTTCATGACCAAGAACCCAAAAGCAAATGCAATGAAAACAAAGATAAATAGCTGGGACCTAGTTTAACTGATGAGCTTTTGCATGGCGAAAGGAACAGTCAACAGAGTAAACAGACAACCCACAGAGTGGGAGAAAGTCTTCACAGTCTATACATCTGACAAAGGACTAATATCCAGAATCTCCAGCAAACTCGAACAAATCAGTAAGAAAAAAACAAATAATCCAATGAAAAGTGGGCTAAAACATGAATAGACAATTCTCAAAAGAAGATATACAAATGGCCAATAAACGTATGAAAAAATGCTCAACTTCACTAATGGTCAGGGGAATGCAAATCAAAACCAAAAGGTGATACCACCTCCCTCCTGCAAGAATGGCCATAATCAAAAAATCAAAAAACCAATAGATCCTGGTGTGGATGGAGTGAACAGGGAACACTTCTACACTACTGGAGGGAATGTAAACTAGTACAGCTGCTATGGAAAACAGTGTGGAGATTCCTTAAAGAACTAAAAGTAGAATTACCATTTGACCCAGATGAAAAGAAGTCATTATTCAAAAAAGATACTTGCATACTCATGTTTATAGAAGCACAATTCACAATTGCAAAATCATGGAACCAAATCAAATGCCCATCAATCAATGAATGGATAAAGAAACTGTGATATATATATGAGGGCATATATATATATGATGGCATGTGTGTGTGTGTATATATATATATATATGATGGCATGTATATATATATATGTATATATATGATGGAATACTACACAGCCATAAAAAGGAATGAATTAACAGCATTTGCAGGGAACTGGATGAAATTGGAGACTATTATTCTAAATGAAGTAATTCAAGAATGGAAAACCAAACATCACATGTTCTCACTGATATGTGGGAGCTAAGCTATGAGGATACAAAGGCATACGAATGATGCAATGGGCTTTGGGGATTTGGGGGGAAGAGTCGGAGGGGGGTGAGGGATAGAAGACTACAAATATGGTGCAGTACATACTGCTTGCGTGATGGGTACACCAAAATCTCACAAATCACCACTAAAGAACTTACTCGTAACCAAATATGACCTGTACCCCAATAACTTATGAAAAAATAAAAAAATAATAAGCTATAAGAGGGATAGCTGGGCTCTCCCTTTGTGGCTTATTATTGCTTTCATGTTTAATTCCACCTGTAAATCTTCTTCTATTCTAATTAGAAAAAAAAGTAGAAGACTTCAAATAAATCAGTGAATTGAAATATCAAGTCAAATATAATACAGTAGAAACACATTAGATATGCCAAATGTTAACTCACAGATTAAAATATTAACTTTGTGCCACAAACTATACATTCTGAGGAGAGAGACCCCATCTGTTTTGTTTATTACTGGATCCCCAGCCTCTATCACAATGCCTGGTATATAATCTCTATGTACATATTAACTAGCAATAATACATAATATATACACTATGATATAATAGCTTAGTATAGATGTTAACCTTATCGCCTAATGCCAACATGATTACATTCCCTTTTATGCTTTTTTAACCTTAAATTTAAGAATTGAAATAAAATACCGATGCAATAGGATACAATGTGGTAACAAGAAATCCATTTGGCATATATAAGAAAGGCCATGGGAATAACACGAAAGGGCCTGTTGTACAAAGATATGAAGGTACCATAAGAACACCATTAGGAATGAGAATTTAAATCAACAGTTCATAAGGAACCACTTGTTTTATTCTGGGGTATCTGCAAAGTAACAAATATAAAAACATTACATGGTTATATACATCAGGGCTACCTATAGCTAAGTTTCAGAAGGATGCTACCCTGTGAAGGAGAGTCTGGGAGGCAGGACTCAAACAAATAAGAAAAATACAGATGTCTAAATGTGAGTGTTCAAAAGAACAAAGATGACTTTTGTATGATCAATAAATCATTCATGGAAAATAATCAAAAGATTATTCATAGGAAAATAAAAGTGTGTTTTTAAAAAAACACAGGGTAGATAATGATCTCCTGAGACATTTTATAGGATAAATTATATTAGAAGATAATTAGATAATTTGCTAGTTATCTAAATATGAGATGGAAAATTAAGACAATGAATTTGCATGATTAGAACAAACAAGCACCATGTAGACAAACTTTCCTTGCCCTGGAAGGGTAAGAAGGTAAATCTAAATCAGATAATTTACATGAAATATTGCTTATAAGTGGATTCTTTTCTTTTTCCTAAGACTAGCCAAGGGATAAAGAGATGGCTGGAAACTTTTGTTAATTTTGAAACCAAAGAGCCATGTAAAGGTAGAGGGAAAAATTACTTTGGAAAAAATTCACAATGTCACAAAAGGCAAACTGCCTATCTGGAAAAAGAGTAGAGCAATTAAACTGATAGTTAATTCAAATTATAATTATAAAATAACTATAATTCTCTTTCTGCTAAAGCAATGAATTGAATTCCAGCTACAGAGCTAATTCTAACATTCATGCAAAACTAAGGCCATGTATATATTTTGCTATGTACCATTTTTATGATCGACTAAGCCTGTATTGTTAGTTACAAAGTGAGTTTTGTTATATGTACAGTAAATCATATGTGTATAGTGGGTTATGCCCTGTGCTTACTTTAAATATTGAAATATAAGCATGTGTAAATTATAAATATGATTATTATACTTTATCATATTAACTCTTCTTATAGACCAACATGGGCAACTGTTTTTAGAGATATCATAGAAATTTCTTAAATCTCCTACCTATCCCTGAGAATGGTCCAGAGCTCTCCACCTAGACAAGCTTCCATCAACATATACAAATATTTGCTGTCCTTAAATGTTCTGTACAGTCTGTAAATTGCAAACAAGAAAACAAAGATTATAAACATTACTGTCTTTTACAAGTGTGCAATTTTGGGGGGCCCAGATTATAGTTTTGATTTGCCAAGCTCAAAATTTTGTCAGAATGAGAGAGATCTAAGCCCACACATGGGGAAAAGAAGCCAATGGCTCATGAATAGGATTTTAATAGAAGAAACTAAGGCGCTAATCTCTCCCTTGAAATGGATTAATCATAATGATTATGGACAAAGAGGGTTTCTTGGGATTCTTTCCATTCCAATTTGGGTAATGTTTTGAGCATAGACCCTTGGGGCAACATTTAGTGGTCATCAACATGCAGTGAAAATGGGAATAAAGTGGATTAAACTTTACAGATTCAGACATGTATAAATTTCATATGCTATTCGCTCAAATTCATGTTACATCTTGTTTTCAGTAAATGCCACTGGAAAATTCACTACAAAAAGCTGCTTCCACATATAAAAATCTCCCCATTATCCATTTATTAGTACTGAGGTGGAATGGTCAGCTGTCATTTCATTTTTTTAGATCTTCAAAAAATATTCAGATAATTAAAGGTTAAATAGTTTGATTTTGGATATTTTGTCTTTTAAGCATCAAAGGTCTATGTAGAGTTTGGGGATTTAAAAAAAGATAAAAATGGAATGTTAGAAACTCTGGTACCTCCTTTGGGAAAACACATTGTTTTCAGACACTAATTCTCTTTAAAAGAAAGAATAGAGTCAGAACTTTATTTTTAGAAATCAAACAAAACTTTCTTAAGATTAGATTAAAAAGAAGTTTCTTTGTGCATACGAAATGTGTTAACAGTGAGCACAAGTGGCAGAGGGTTTTGTGGTGGATTTGTCACTTGGAGTTGGGTACGTCTGTCCCTGGCATGGAGCCTTTACCTCACTATGAAATCGGAATGAGCCCCCTGCATGATCTGCTTCTCTGAGCGGATGTGCTCCTGCTGTCTTGTGTCCACAATGTGACGTTTCTTGAGAATCTTCATTGCAAACGTTTTGGATTCTTCACTTTTCAACTGGACCTTAAAGAAAGAGAGAAGAGAGTAAGAAAAAGCCCATAGACTTGTAAGAGTGCATTATTATCCCCAAATTAACAGGTACATGGCGCACTTAAATGAACCTCAGCCACCTCCCAAGTCAAAACACAGTAAATCCTTGGTAGAGCTGCGTTTAACATCCAGGGCTCACAGCTATCATCCAATCTCATGCTCTGAATTGGCTGAATTTTAACTAACTTGATTCCAAATTAATTGTGTTCACGTGTGGATTAGAAGAGGGAAAATGTACTTAGTTCTAGTTTTATTATTTCATGTCATAGAGTGTGTTTGAATACATTTTATAGTTCTTCTGTCAAAAGAGTAGAAAAAAAACTTCTTTTCCAATTTTATTTCAGTAAAGATGGCCAAAAATAGGGTTATATGGGCCTTTATATTCTTCCTCCTTAGTTCTAATCCACAAACATTTCTAATTTTTTTTATCTTTTTTTTAAAATTTTATTATTATTATACTTTAAGTTCTAGGGTACGTGTGTACAACGCGCAGGTTTGTTACATATGTATACATGTGCCATGTTGGTGTGCTGCACCCATTAACTTGTCATTTAGTATTAGGTATATCTCCTAATGCTTTCCCTTCCCCCTCCCCCCACCCCACAACAGTCCCCAGTGTGTGATGTTCCCCTTCCTGTGTCCATGTGTTCTCATTGTTCAATTCCCACCTATGAGTGAGAACATGCGGTGTTTGGTTTTTGGTCCTTGCGATAGTTTGCTGAGAATGATGGTTTCCAGCTTCATCCATGTCCCTGCAAAGGACATGAACTCATCATTTTTTATGGCTGCATAGTATTCCATGGTGTATATGTGCCACATTTTCTTAATCCAGTCTATCATTGTTGGACACTTGGGTTGGTTCCAAGTCTTTGCTATTGTGAATAGTGCCGCAATAAACATACGTGTGCATGTGTCTTTATAGCAGCATGATTTATAATCCTTTAGGTATATACCCAGTAATGGGATGGCTGGGTCAAATGGTATTTCTAGTTCTAGATCTGTGAGGAATCGCCACACTGTCTTCCACAATGGTTGAACTAGTTTACAGTCCCACCAACAGTGTAAAAGTGTTCCTATTTCTCCACATCCTCTCCAGCACCTGTTGTTAACATTTCTAATTTTTAGCTTGAGTGGTGGACCCTAGTCTCTGCTGAGACTGCAGACTGTTATTTCTTCAGTACTGACTGTATTCATTTCTTCTTTTTAACCTTGCAGAATTTTCCCTCCCTACAGTTTAAAGAGAAAAAAAATTGTAACAAGATTTTTTCAGGAGATTTTGAAAACCGTTTGTTTTTCTTCTCAAACAAGCATGATGGCTTTAGTTCCTTTGACCTCAAACTTTACTCTCTAATAACTGGGAAGACTTGGAGGCTTAATATCTTTCAATGTGCCATGCCTCTCTTGCAGCCCTCATGGCTCCCAGTGGCTCCAGAGGAGGCATGGATCTTCCACATGCCTTACTCAGACAGGGTGCTGTTTATGGTTTTACAAGAAATTTCAAGAAGGTGACTTGTAACAAAAACAAGAGAGGTAATAGAGCTAATTACTTAAAAGCAATGTAAGGACATTATCATCTAGTGCTCTCAAGCAGCAGAATCCTCAAGATGATACCAAACAGCCCATATTATTTGGGAGTAATGTAACCTTGGGGAAATAACATGGCATGCTGTTTCTGCTTTTCAGCTGAAGTATGGCTGTCCCCTCTTTAGTCGTTAATTATTTACTGCTTCATCAGCAGGGATAGCGAAGGTCTTAAGTGTCTTGTTCCTGCACACATGTACAGATTGAGTTCAATCTTCGAAGATATTCATGTGGCAAGTTCCTTAGGAGGGAGCATGAAGATACTGCAAATAAATGGGCCTCGGTTAGCTGCCAGCAATTGTGAATCAGTATGACAGGTAGAGGGAAAAATGGGTATTTGAAAATGCTTTTAACAGCCAAAGACCCTGTACTCTGGCTGTGAAACTCAAAGATGACAGATTAGTGTGCTACAAATAAATTCAGTAGTAACTCAAAATAAAACACCAAATGTGAAAACTCACTTCTAAAAGAAATCTGGAAAGCTAGGGAAGATGGCATGAAAAATGAGCTATGTTAGAGTACTACAATTCAGAGAAGAAGAAGTAAAGTCATATTCCCTCTTCAGAGTCATTCCCAGTTAAACTAGTGAGGACTGTTGTGCAGTTGTTCAAAAATGCCTACTATAAAAATGATTCTCTTTAGTGATGATAACACAGATACACAGATTTTTTTTTTTTTATACTTGTACACAGGGTAGGAGGAAAGAATTCAGCCTTTATAGTCACAGGTCTGGACTTGAATTCTGACTCCACTTAGTCCCTCTCAGTCTAAGCAACTAGTCTCTCTCGGGCTAGTTGCTTAACTGCTCTGAGCCCTAGTTCTAGCTGAGGATAATACCAGATACCACAGTTATTATGATCCTAAATGAAAACGCACCACCAAATGGGCATTCATTGATGGACTCTGCTTGTACCCAGCAATCTCTACTGAATAGGGCAAATCAAATGTTGCTTTTTCAGAGGAACAAACTGATTTCCAAAAATGATTCCTATCTTTCCCAAGGTCACAGAGCTATCAAGTGGCAGAAATGGATTCATGTTCAGGTTTTTTTTTGGCCCAAGCTATTTCCAGTATATGCTGCTTCCCTTCAGCTGAATACAAAACCAATTAAATGCATAGTGATTGATACTTTGCAAATCAGAGTTTAACGGAATCGACTAACTCATGGACTGTGAGATAAACTGAACAATATTTCTATTACCTTTAAGCTTAACTTATGCTAGGCATGTGATTTGGGAGAACAGCCAAAGCCTCACTGACATTTTCCTAGGCACTTCCCAGGGACCTCCATGTGTTAGGGGTTTGAGATACCCGATTGCTTGAATACTGCAAGGAGAAGCCAAGTGGGGTAGAAAGAGGATAATGAGAACTGGTGGGTGGCAGATGTCATAAGAGATAGGTAAAAGCTACAGAAAGCAACAGAAATTCTTGGGAGTCAGGCTTACTAGTTGCCAATTTAAAAAGCATTAATTACAAAAAGTTTATAGAACTATACTGCTAACCTACTGAGGCTTTCTGCTTTGCCTTTACTTTGCATGGAACCAGTCCTTGGGTCTAGAATCATCTTCCTTCTTTGGACTCTATACAAGATCTCATGAGCTCCTTAGAGCAGGGCCCTTAGAATCTCCACTTCCAATTTAAACCAGAATGCTACAAGACTCACAGAACTCAGGATCTTAACCAGAAAGTCAGGGTACCTGAGGACCACTGGTGTGAGCTAACTCAACAGAGACAGTGGAGAATGTTGAAGTTAATTATTTCCATAAAGCCCAAGTAACATATTCATCAGAAATCTTCTGATAAACCAACAACTTCCCAAAGATCATTCAAGAATGTTCAATTCAACATTGTTTCTAATGGAAAAATTTAGAAACAATCTAAATTTCTAGCAAGAGGAGGAGCTTGAAAAATAAATTATGGTATATCCATGCAATGCAACTGTAAAAATGATGACTTAGAATTATATTTAACATTACGGAAAAATAACCAAGACATATATATGAATAAAAGATACTGATTACAAGTCAGCATGCATTTTATGATCTCACAGTGTGTTCGTATGTTAGTGTGTATATATACATTCATATGTATATATATACACACACATCTATATGTGAAATAAATGTATGAAGAGACAATCAGAAATGTGTTCATCAATACGTTAACAATGATTTTTCCTTAGGGAGATTTTTAGTTGATTTTTACTTCTTTTTACTTTTTGAATTGCTTAACTTTTGAACAATCCTCATACCTTGCTTTTACAATGAGTAAAAGTAAAACTCTCATCATGAAAAAACTTGCAAGTCTCTTTTAAATTGTAATAGCTATTTATTATTATTGTCTGAATCTTTCTAATTGATTCTGATTCAACTAGAATTCCATGAATGCAAAGATATTGAGAAATTGTACAGAGCATAACAACCTATTGAGGTCTGGGGCTGAACCACACTATTACCTTCTTACAGGGCTGGCCACAAAAATTTTTTTTAAAGTAAACTCTGAGTCAGTTATAGCAATTTGTATTTGTTGAGCCTAAGATACTAGGTTTTATTATAAAAATATTTTAACAAACCTAATCCATGATGAATTGTAAGGTGACATTTAGTTTGCTTTTTATTTTTCCTGTTGTCTAAATTAATTATACAAAGTCCACTTGTGTCCATTTAAGATGATGATGATGATGATGATGATGATGATGATTTTTTAGCAAGTTGGTTAGAGCTATGAAATTACTTTCGAGTAGAGAAAGAGATCAGCCAGCAAAAAAGGAGAACAGGAGTGCATATTTTTCTTCTGCCTCTTGCCAAGGACTAGCCTAGATAGTTATGCATGTTCCTCAGATTTGTCTTCCTTTGAAGACTGTCCTAATCTCCTAGGTGTACAGGCTAATGCACTGGTTGAGAGTGTGACTAGTGTGACATTTGACTAATTTTTTTTCAATCTCAACCTTTTTTTTTGTTTTTTTGCTTGTTCTCTTGGACAAATTACTCAAACTCTCTCTGCTTTCATTTCCTCATCTATCATATGGGGATATCCTGACAGATTACCTGTGAAAACTAAATAAAAGTGTTATGTATCAAACAAAGTGTTTTCTTTGTTCCGACTGCAACCCACCTCAGTGCTAACAAGTAGATGAGTAAGGATTTGAGAAGCTACTTCTATAATATTGTGGATGCTATAAAAAGGAATGAGATCATGTGCTTTTGCAGGGACATGGATGGAGCTGGAGGCCATTATCCTCAGCAAACTAACGCAGGAACAGAAAACCAAACAGCGCATGTTCTCACTTATAAGTGGGAGCTGAATAATGTGAGCACATGGACACAGGGGGAGGAACAACACACACTGGGGTCTGTCGGGGGAGAGCTGGGGGTGTTGGCAGAGAGCATCAGGAGAAATAACTAATGCATGCTGACTTAATACCAGGCGATGGGTTGATAGGTGCAGCAAACCATCATGGTACATGTTTACCTATGTAACAAACATGCACATCCTGCACATGTACTCCAGAACTTAAAAAAAAGTTTACAATAATAATAATAATAATAATAATAAAGCATTAATATTGGTTCATTAACTAAATGTACCATACTAACGTAAGTTGTCAATAATAGGGGTAATTGGGTTCAGCGTATATAGGAATTTTCTGTACTATCTTCACATTTTTCTGTAATTATATAACTGTTCTCAAAAAACAAAGATTATGGATGCTTATACCACACTGGTTTTACTCTCAAAATTCCTAAAAAGGGAAAATGAACAAGAAAATTTCAATACTCAAGATCTTCATTTTATTTTATATAAGAAATGCTATGTGCTATATTAGAAATTAGAATCGGTAAATGTTTCATTTACAGTACATTGTTACTTCAAAATGAAGTATTATATTGACATTTGAATGAATGTATACTTGGGCCAAGTAGATCTTAAGGTGGGAATTTTTGACAAGGATTTTGACAAGTTCTTAACTATCTGGCTATAGCTGATGTCTGCATAATACTGGCCTGAAAATGAGAGGTGATGTCATCAGCATTTTAAAGAGCTCTGAAGATGCATTTGCTGGTTGTATTTAAATACAGTACATGCTTCCTTTCTACCTAGGGTATCTGGTTGCCTTAAAAAGGCTTGTTTCCTACTGGACCCAATTTTTTGCCTTTATTGGGAAGGAAGATTATGATCAAGGCAAGGTTAAAACTGGCTCAGTACCACTGGCTGTGAGTTGATCCTTAGAATTTGTATCTATTCATTCATTTAACCTTGTTATTAAGAGCTCGTAGCTTATTTTGCACTGTCAATATCTTAATTATTTTGGAAGAAAATTACTTCCTGAACTACACTGTAATTGAAATGATTTCTTAAATTCAAGGCTTAAACTGTCAATGTCACATGACTCATTATTATGCAAAAGTCCCATATGAAGTGGTTCAAATTACATTTCCATGCACAGCAGGAGAAGGGTACTCCCTTCATGCTCTACCTTAGGTAAACTGATGCTACAGAACAACGGTGATGAAGGGAGTTAAGGAAAACATAAACCTGGGACCTAATTCTGGATCTTTCACTAATAAGTCATATAATCTCACTGGGCCTCAGACCACTTTTCAGAAAATAAAGGGCAAAACTATATTATCTTTAAAAACTCATTCCAGCTAGAGAATTCTATACATCTGCAATTTGACGTAATATGCATTTTTAAAGCATGTTAATTATATTTAACCTTATAGAAACGGCCCAAAAAACATGTGGCAATATCTTGGGAAGAAGGAAAAGGGGAAATACTCCAAGTAACACAAAGGTCGCTTAAGGAAACATGATGGTCCTCTCTGAAAGTATGACCTTGACTTTACATTTATGTTCATATTCTCTTCGGGGGTGGGGGTTTTATTTTCTGCCCTCTCAACCCCAACATATGAAGGGATTGGTTTCTGTTATATTCTCTGTGTTGCTAACTTTCAAAGAACACACACTGGAAAAAAGTAGCAGTAGCTTTCTCAGGAAGAGCATTAAAACAGGCTTCAAGGCATAAGGGAATCCAGGCAGAGTCACCGTAATTGTAATAGCTGCAAAATAGGAATGGCAAATATTTTCTCTAAATAAAATAGCACAAAATTTTACTCAGGAAATCTATATTATTTGGTGAAGCATAAAGCCATTTTTTAGTTTTGGCTCTCTTTAACCTGGGAGAAAAAGTCTTTGTAAGTAATCCAGAAATAATTTGGCAAGGTATATGATTTTACGTTTAAGTAACCCACGTTTAATATAAATTGTGATAACTTAAGGAATTTAAGACAAGTGCTGTAGTGAAATGTTCTGCAAAGGAAGAAAAGAAGAAAAAAAAAGCTGGAGGGGAGGGGGAAGGAGAGAGAAAGCCCTACATTGAGAGACTGTGAGTATCTTATCCTATTAGATTAACCGGGCCAAAGGGCAGGTTCAC